>NC_000023.11:83977693-84280723 GCF_000001405.40 Homo sapiens
CCTGATTCAATGCCTGGGAAAAATATAAAATGGCTTCAGTAAACCCCTGTGCCATCACAGTCCAGGTATGCCACTGATATTTCCAAGTAAAGGTAAACAACTATTTATTCTCTTTATAAACTGGAATGCTAAAGGAGACTAAGTAGAGATATATTACAGTACAAGTATGCTTGAAATTAGTGAGTACATTAAACAATAAAGTATTAGAATTTGGGACTACAGGAAACCTTGGTATTATAATTATATTAATTTTACATAAATCTTGAACAAGTATCTAACCTTGTCTATTTGGTTTTTTAACTGATAGGTTTTTAACTGGTAGGGAGTGCTATAAGGCTATTGTAGAAAAATTATGAGTCCCTGTTTAATTAAATTATTTTACAATTGGTGAGAGCCTTTGAATTCATTTGGGTGTTAGTGAGTATTGGGGTAATTTATGCAAAGGTTTAGAATAATCTATTTGGACTCTCACAAGTTCCACACTTTTAATTTTTCCTATATCAGTTGAGGAAGAGGCTCATAAACTTTTAGGTATTTTTGAAAGATTAGGGGTATTACAGGCCTGAGTTTCAATCTTATCAATTTCTGCCTGTAAATAGCATAAAAATTTTGGTTCAAGAGTATCAGGAAACCCTAAGATTATTTCTCCCTTTGAGGAAAATTGTACGTGCCCTTTTAGCTTTGAAAGTAAACCTCACCCTAGAAAATTTATTGGAGCAGCATTACATAGAAAAAAAAAAGGATATTTTTCTGAAAAGATCCCCAAAGTTAATTGGATGGTTTCAGTTATGGGAACCTTTTGAACTTGATTTGAAATCCCCACCACAGAAATGACCTTTTTACTCTGAGGGATTTGCTGGCTCATTAAAGTGGAGCTTATGGTAAATAGGGTAGAGCTGGTATCCACCAGGACTGTACATGACTCCACATTTAACCTCCTGTATAACAATCAACTCAAGATGGAACGAACTCAGATCTAAGACCTGAAACCATAAAAATTCTTGAAGATAGCATTAAGAAAAACTCTTCTAGACATTGGCTTAGGCAAAGAATGTATTACTTAGGACCCAAAAGCAAATACAACAAAAATAAAAATAAATAAATGGGGCCTAATTGAACTAAAAAGCTTCTGCACAGCAAAAGAAATATTTAGGAGAGTAAATAGAAAACCCACAGAGCAGAAGAAAACAGTCACAAACTATCCATCTGACAAAGCACTAATATCCAGAATCTACAAAGAACACAAACAAATCAGAAAAAAAAAAAAACGTATAAAAAATTAGGCAATGGACGTGAAAAGACAGTTCACAAAAGAAGATATACAAACAGCCCAAAAACATATTTAAAAAATACTCAACATCACTAATTATCAGGGAAATGCAAATTAAAACCACAATGAGATACCACCTTACTCCTGCAAGAATGGCCATAATTAAAATGTCAAAAAACAATAGATGTTGGCATGGATGTGGTGAAAAGAGAACACTTTTTTACACTGCTGGTTGAAATGCAAACTAGTACAACCACTATGGAAAACAGTATGGAGAGTCCGTAAACAACTAAAAGTAGAACTACCATTCAATCCAGCAATTTATGTACTGGGTAACTATCCAAAGGAAAATAATTTATTATATGAATAAGACATAAGCACATGCATGTTTATAGCAGCACAATGTGCAATGACAGAGATATGGAACCAACCTAAGTGCCCATTAACCATCAAGTGGATAAAGAAAATGTATATATACACCATGGAATACTACTCAGGCATAAAAAAGAAAAAAATAATGGCATTTGCAGCAATCCGGATGGAGTTGGAGATAATTATTCTAAGTGAAGTAATGCAGGAATGGAAAATCGAATATCATATGTTCTCACTGATAAGTGAGAGCTAAGCTATGAAGATGCAAAAGCATAAGAATAATATAATGGATTTTGGGGACTCAGGGGAATGTGTAAGAGAGGAGTGAGGAATACAAAGCTACACACTGGAGACAGTGGACACTGCTTGGGTGATGGGTGCACCAAAATCTCAGAAATAACCACTAAAGAACATATCTGTGTAACCAAAATCCACCTATTCCCCAAAAACTATTGAAGTAAAAATTTAAACAAAAAGAAAAAAAATCTGTGGAAAACTCTTCTGGAGTTTTCATTGGCCTACACAAGGAAATCATGATTAAGACCTCAGAAGCACAAGCACCAAAACCAAAACACAGATAAATGAGATGTAATTAAAATAAAATGCTTCAGCATAGGAAAGGAAATAATCAGTAGAGTGAACAGACAACCTGCATAATGAGAGAAAATATTTGTAAACTATGCATTCAACAGGAGACTAATATCCAGAATTTATAAGGAATTCAAACAACAACCATAGCAACAACAAAACAATTAACTCCAAATAAATGGTTGAAAGACATGAACAGATATCTTTAAAAAGACATAAAAATAGCCAAAAAGCAGCTGAAAAACTGCTCAATATCACTACATCAGAGAAATGCAAATCAAAACCACAATAAGACATTGTCTTAAACCTGTCAAAATTATATTATTAAATAGTCAAAAGGTAGCAGATGTTGGAAAGGATGTGAAGAAAAGGGAATGCGTATATACTGTTGGTGGGAATATAAACTACTACAACTTCTATGGAAAACAGTATGGCGATTTCTCAAAGAACTAAAAATATAACTATCATTCAATTTAGCAATCCCACTATGGGGTATCCACCCCTCAAAAAATGAAATGTTATATCAAAAAGATACCTTGGCTAGAAACAGTGACTTGTGCCTCTAATTCCAGAAATTTGGGAGAGGCTTGGTGATGGAATATTGTCTGAGCCAGGATTTTGAAACCAGCCTTGGCAACTTACACAGTTTGGACATTTGTCTCCTCCCAATCCCATGTTGAAATGTAATTCCCAGTGTTGAAGTTGGGGCCTGGTGGGAGGTGATTGGATTATGGGGATGGATTCCTCAAGAATGTTTTAGCACCATCCCCTTGGTGATAAGTGAGTTCTCAATCAGTTAGTTTACATAAGATTTGGTTGTTTAAAATGTTTTGAAACCTCCCTCTTCTCTCTCATACTTCCACTCTCGCTATGTGATACAACTACTCTCCCTTTACCTTTCACCATGATTGTAAGCTTCCTGAGGCCCTCAACATATGCAACACCAGCATATGTTGGTGCCATGCTTCCTCTGCAGCCTGCAAAATCATGAACCAATTAAACCTCTTTTTTAATATAAATTACTAGTCTCAAGTATTGCTTTATATCAATGAAAACAAACACAGAAAGATAGCAAGATCTCATCTCTACATGCTGGGCATGTTATTTCACTCCTGTAGTCTTAGTTACTTGGGAGTCTGAGGTGGGAAGATTGATTGAGTGCAGTTGTTTGAGGTTAACAATGAGCTATAATCACATGACTGTCCTGCAGCCTGTGTGACAGAGAAAGACCCTGTGAGAGAGAGAGAAAGAGAGAAAGAGAAAGAAGAAAGAAAGAAAGAGAAAGAAAGAAAGAAAGAAAGAAAGAAAGAAAGAAAGAAAGAAAGAAAGAAAGAAAAAGAAATCTGCACTTGTATGTTTATCACAGTACTATTAACAATAGCACAGATATGGAACCAACCTAAATTTCCATCAATGTTTAATTGGATAAAAAAGTGATCAATCTTTGTATCTAACAATCAATCTATCTAAATACACACACACATGCACACACACACACAGAGACATCTATGTATCTATCTATCCAAACACACGAACGAACACACACACACACACACACACACACACACAGGAATACTATTCAGCCACAAAAAATAAAATCATTTATTTTGCAGAAACATGAGTGGAACTGGAGGCCATTATCTTAGGTAAAAAACTTAGAACAAAATGTCAAATATATATTCCTACTTATAAGTAGTAGGTAAATAACACACACATATGGACATAGAATGTGGAATAATAGACATTGGAGACTCAAAAGTGTTCAGGAGTGGAAGAGAGTAAAGAATGACCTTAAAACTTAAAGTATAATAAAAAAAAGAATGAGAAATTTCTTAGTGAGTACAATATACATGATTTGAGTGATGATTACACAAAAAGCCCAGATTGTACCACTATGCAATGAATCCATGTGACAAAACTATACTTGTACTCCTTAAATTTCTACACAAAAAAAAACTTTTTAAAAGCCAATTTGTTTTCAGTCTTTTATTTTTTATTCAAAAGTAGGTCACCATGTAAATAGTCTTGACCTGTCTCATCCTTGACAATTTAAGTCAAATAAAGTCACCCAAGTACCTTACAACATCTGGTACATAAAAAAAGTTACAAATACCAAGTAACTCATGCAATTTATTCAGTCCCATTTCTACCTTAAAAAAGAGCCCTAGCACCCTGATAGTGACTCGTGTGAGAAGTCCACACAATTCAGTAGCAGAATCATCTCCCACTTAACTCTCAGCAATGGGGACACTACCGCTAGTTCTCTACTGGAGCAGTAAAAGTTACCTTGTGCACAAACTTGCTGAAAATGGGAGATCCAACCAACACCCATTCTCTGCCATCATTGCTCTGGAACTCCCAACTGCAGGATATTTTCAGCCAGACATCCTGAATCCAAAAAGAACTAAATGTAACTAATATCTATATTAAAATTTAAATTCTGATAGATTTAAGAGCAGTGGGTCATTTTATGGACTGGGTTTTGGTCCAGTATTGCCACAAATTTATTCATGCTGTATTCACTCCCACTTAAAATGTAATCTTCTTCATGAAGTAGTACATTTGTCTTTTTCTATTATTTAATCCATGGCATTTAGAAGAGTGTCTAAAGTACTCAATAGCTTCTATTTAGCGGGAATGGTAAAATGCAATGATCAGCTAAATAGCTCCAGTTGAGCTGGGCATGACTGTCTACCCCTCTCCAACCTGTATGTTCATAGTTCCTCTATGATCTTCCACCCCATTTCCTGGAAACCTACACTTTACACTTTACCTGGAAGTACTACCATCAGCACTGTGTGCAGGCCCAAACAAGCCTCCACTTTATTTTACTTCTTTCTTGTCCCTTTTCGTTATTTAAATTATAAACAAACCAGTATCTATTAAATAATTTTTTAAACCAGAAAACAGAGGCCATTACCTCATGCAGTTAGTGTGAATATACAGTGAGCCCTACATCCAGAACATTTGAAACTACCAAAAGGTGCATATTGCAAGTTCAAAGCCAAAGCTTTCAAGATTCTATAAATATAAACAGGTAATATAAGCTAATTTACTACCCTGCTCATCTTGTGCTCTCCATTACCCCTAAACAATCCTGGGGATCTACATTGATACTGCTGCAGATTAAATCCAGTCACTTTTTAAGGCTTTGGGGATCACTACCTCTCCGGTTGATCCCCAATTAATTCTGTAGATCCCAATATTCTGAAAACAAAACTGGAGACATTTACAAGCTTGTATTCAAATAAGGCAGGGTAGAATAAAGCAGATGCCCTTGCCAGAACATCTTGCAGATTTTAAGTACAAAAATAACAATGTTATTACATATTATAATTGTACTAGTTCATTCTCACACTGCTATGAAGTAATATCCAAGACTGGGTAATTACATAAAGGAAAGAGGTTTAATTGACTCACAGTTCCACATTGCTACGGAGGCTTCAGAAAACTTACAATCATGGCAGAAGGCAAAAGAGAAGCAGGCACCTCTTCACAGTGTGGCAGGATGGAGTGAATACAAGCAGTAGAAATGCCAGATGCTTACAAAACCATTAGATCATGTGAGACTCACTTATTATCACGAGAACAGCACAGGGGAAACTGCCCCCATGATCCAATTACTTCCACCTGGTTCTGCCCTTGATATGTGCAGATTATGGAGATTACAATTTAATGTGAGATTTTTGGTGGGGACACAGCTAAACCTTATCAGTTATTATTATTTAAAAATAGTTAAAATTTATTAAACCTTGACTATGCTAGGAACACTTTTGAGCACTTAATATAAATTATGTTTTAAATTTTTAATTGTGCCAAAATATCCATACTATAAAATTGATCATTTTAAGCATGTGGATAATTTTAAAGATGTAGGTCAAAAGGTATGAAATTGTAGTTATGTAGGATAAATAAGTCCAGAAATCTAATGTACTGCATAGAAATTATAGTTATATTCTATAATGATTTGCTAAGAGAGTAGATTTTATGTACTCTTACCCCCCCACACACACACAAAAATAACTTTTTGAGATGATGAATTTGTTAATTGGCTTGATAGTAGTAATCATTTTACTATGTATATGTATATCAAAATATCATATTATACACTTTAAATATATACAGTTACAAATAAAAATGGGGAGCGCACAGCAAAATGGTAGACTAGATGCAGTCAGGAAAAATATCTACCACCAAGAGATTGTGAAATTGTGAAGACTGCATGGCAAGCAGATCTTGAGAAGAAAGGCATTGAGAGTGGACAGAGGAAGTAAACAGATACTGGGCTAAAGATGGAGGAAGCTGGAAACTTTGCCAGGACTACAACACACTGGCCCCCAGTGATTCCTGGGAAAGCAATTAGTGGTACAGGTGTGGAGTGATCTACTCTTGGCATGGACTTCTGGTATCCTAGCAACAGAAGTAGCCATAATCTCCACAAACACTTGGGCTGGCAGGGAGGGCTCCTTAGAGATATGGTACTGCAGGACTTCAGCCTGTGAAGAGCAGACAGGGTTTGGTGTAGGAACATCTGCAGTGGAGCACAGTCTGGAAAACCCATTCCCCAAAGCTTGCCATGCTCTCCTAGAAAACTTTAGCCTTAGGGGAACTGTTGGACCTCAACAGAGCAGGGCAGTCTTGCTCATGAAATGGGTCAAGTCAGATATAAGCACCCCTCTACCCGAGGACCTCTCCTGTGGCCCCATTGTGGCCATGCCCACTTGAAATGGAGCCCTGGATGCTCAACTGGCATTCTTCCATAGCCTGCATCAGTTTCTTCACCAGCAGATTGCACCTGACTATAAGAGAGCATCAGCAAAGTGGCCCTTGTCAACATATACAAGCCTACCAACACATATTTCCCACCACAGCCTGCCCCACACCACTTTGCCCACATGCACTCATCCATAGCCACCTCCTTCACCACTTTCCCCTTTTATGGGCACACAGGGAGACCTTTCCTCTCCTTCCACACTGGCATGCATGTGTGCATGCACTGTACTGCACCACTGACGTTGGCATGAGCACAGACCTCCTCAATGCACAAACATTGCCAAACAAATGTTCACAGAGAGGCCAGCGGCCCTTCTCTCTGCCCACCAAGCCCCTCCCTGCTGCCACCACCAGCACAAATGCACGCACAGAGGCTGACGGCCCTGAGCTCACCAGCTCTCCATCCGCATGCCAATGCCACCACTGGTGTAAACACAACATGGAGATTGCCAGCCCTGCCCCACATTCCATGCCACTAAGTTTACTCATATTAATTTGTACATGGAGGCCAGCAGCCCTGCACCCACTGGCGGCCCACCGCAGCTGGTGGGTGTGCATCCTGCCACACTGCTGCCGTAGCTGGCACATACCAACAAGCATAGATTCCATTGCCACTGCCCTGACAAAGAGCACTTTGGCTAGCGCCACCCTTTGGAGTGTTGTGGCTAGCTTTCTGGGAAACCTTGGCTCATCCAGTGCAGCAAGTTGCTAACCTTGAAGGGCCAGAGAACAAACATGGGAGCCCAACACCAGTGCCACAGAGTTAGAGTTCAAAGCCAGAAGTGCTGACCTGTGCCTTGCCCTCTAAAATATTTAAGAAATGAAGCCAGTTGGCTGAACTAACCCTGTACTGCAATTAAACTCCCAAGGGAATCAAAGAAGATAAAAGCAAAAGAACCCATCCAAAGTACAGCATCTTCAAGATTGACTGAACATCAGCTCATACAGGTGAGAAAAAAATAGTGCAAGAACTCTGGCAACAAAAAAAGCCAAAGTGTCTTCTTACCTCCAAGCAACCACACTAATTCCCCAGCAAAAGTTTTTAACAAGGTTGAGATGGCTGAAAAGACAGAAATAGAATTCAGAATATAGATAGGAACAAAGATCATTGAGATTCAGGAAAAGGTCAAAATCTAATCAAAGAATTCTAGGGAATATAATAAAAATATACAGAAGATGAAAGATGAAATGATCATTTTAGAAATAACCAAACTGATCTGATAAAGCTAAAGAACTTACTTCAAGAATTTCAGAATACAATCACAGGTATTAACAGCAGAATCCACCAAGCTTAGGAAAAAAAATCAGAGTTTCGAAGACCAGTTCTCCAAAATAACGCTGTCAGAAAAAAAATAAGAATAAAAAATTAAAGAAGAATGAGCAAAACCTCTGAGAAATATTAAATTATGTAGAGATACCAAATCTATATCACATTGGGATTCCTGAAGGAGAGAGAGAGAAAGCAAGCAACTTGGAAAACATTTGAGACTATTATACATGAAAATTTATTCAACCTTGCTAAAGAAGCCAACAATTTAAAAATCCAGAAAATGCAGAAAACTCCTCCAAGATACTACATAAGGTGACCATTCCCAAGGAACATAGCTATTAGATTCTCCAAAATTGAAATAAAAGAAAAAAATTGTTAAAGGAAGCTATAGAGAAGGGAAAGATCAGCTACAAAGGGACCCCACCAGGCTAACAGGGAATCTTTTAACAGAAACCCTCCAAGCCAGAAGAGATTGAGGGATTGTATTCAGTATTCTTAAAAAAAACAAATTCCAACCAAATAATTAATATCCATCTAAACTAAGCTTTCTTACTAAAGAAGAAAAAAAAGATCCTTTTCAGCAAGCAAATGCTAAGAGATTTTGCTACCACCAGACCTGCATTACAAGAGGTCCTGAAGAAAATGCTAAATCTGGAAAGAAAAGATTATTCCCAGCCATCTCAAAACACAATTAAATACATAGACAATTAACACTACAAAGCAACCATAAAAACAAGTCTGCATAATGGGCAGCTAACAAGATGAGGACAGGTTGAAATCCCTCTATATCAATATTAACCTTGAGTGTAAATGGGCTAAGCACCTCAATTAAAAGGCATGGAGTTGCAAGTTGGATAACGAAGCAAGACCCAGAGGTATGCTGTCTTCAAGAGACCCATCTTACATGCAGTGACACACATAGACTCAAAGTAATGAGATGGAGAAAAATCTACCAAGTAAACAGAAAACAAACAAACAAAAAAAGGCAGGGATTGCTCTTCTAATTTTAGACAAAACAAACTTTAAATGATCAATGATGAAAAAAACAAAAAGGGGCATTACATGATTGTAAATGGTTTAATTCAACATAAGATCTAAGTATCCTAAATACATATGCACCCAATATTCATAAGAGCACCCAGATTCATAAAGTAAGTTCTTAGAAATCTACAAAAATACTTATATAACCAAATAATAATAGTGAAAGTCTTCAACACACCACAGAGTATTAGTCAGATCATCAAGGCAAAAAGCTAACATAAAGAAATTCAGGACCTGAACCAAATTGACCTAATAGACATCCCCACAATTCATTACCCAAAAACAACAGAATGCACATTCTTCTCATCTGTACATGGCACATATTCTAGAATCTATCACTCAATCAGCCATAAAACAATCCTGAGAAAATTCAAAGAAACCAAAATCAAACCAACCAAATTATCAGATCATAGCACAATAAAAATATAAATTAATGCTTACAAGACTGCTTAAAACCACAGAATTACATACAAATTAAGCAACTTGCTCCTGAATTATTTTGGGGTAAACAATAAAATTAAAGCAGAAATCAAGAAATTCATTGAAGTTAATTAGAACAGAGATAAAATATATCAGAATCTCTGGGACACAGCTAAAGCAGTGTTAAAAAGGAAGTTTATAGGACTAAGCACCTAAATCAAAAGTTAGAAAGATCTCAGATTAACAACCTAATATCATACCTGAAATAACTATAGAAACAAGAGCCAATCAAACCCGTAGATAGCAGAAGACAAAAAATAACCATAATCAGAATTGAACTGAAGAAAATTGAGACAAATAAAACCATAGAAAATATTAATGAATCTAGGATTTGGTTATTTGAAAAAATAAATAAGACAGACCACTAACTATACTAATTTAAAAAGAGAGAAGATTCTAATAACACAATCAGAAATTACAAAGGAGGCAATACCACCAAAGCCCCAAGAATACAAAAAGACCCTCAGATACTACTATAAACACCTCTAGGTTTATTTGCTAGAAAACCTAGAAGAAATTCATAAATTCATGAAAACATGACCTCCTAAGATTCAACCAGGAAGAAATTGAATCCCCAAACAAAGCAATAATGAGTTGCAAAATTAAATTAGTAATAAAAAGCCCACCAACAGACAAAATCCCAGGACCAGACAAATTTCCAGCCCAATTCTACAACGTGTGTAAAGAAGAGCTGCTACCATTCCCACTGCAACTATTCCAAAAAATTAGAAAAATATTGTAATAGTTTCAAAAGGAATTGGACACCTACCTAACGCATTCTATGAGGCCAGCATCATCCTAGTACCAAAACCTGGCAGGGACCCAACAAAAAAAAGACAACCTCATGCCAATATCCTTCATGAAAATAAATGCAAAACACTCAACATATGTAACATGTGCAAATCAATAAACATAATCCATCACATAAACAGGAACAATGATATAAACTACATGATTATCTCAATAGATGCAGAAAAGACAGTCAATAAAATTCAACACCCCTTCATTCTAAAAACGCTCAATAAACTAGGTATTGATGAAACATGTCTCGAAATAGTAAGAGCTATTTATGACAAACCCATAGCCAATATCATACTGAATGGGAAAACTCTGGAAACATTCCCTTTGAATACTGGTACAAGACAAGGATGCCCTCTCTCACCACTCCTATTCAACACAATATTGGAAGCTCCGGCAAGAGCAATCAGGCAAGAGAAAGAAATAAAGGTATTCAAATAGGAAGAGAGGAAGTCAAATTGTCTCTGCTCACAAATGACATAATTGCATATTTAGAAAATCCCATCGTCCCAGCCTAAAAACATCTTAAGCTGATAAGCAACTTCAAAAAAGTCTCAAGATACAAAATCAATGTGCAAAAATCACAAGCATTCCTATACACCAACAACAGACAAGCAGAGAAACAAATCATGAGTGAACTCCCATTCATAATTGCTACAAAGAGAATAAGATACCAAGGAATACAGCTTAAAAAGGTCGTGAAGGACCTCTTCAAGGAAAACTACAAACCACTGCTCAAGGAAATAAGAGAGGACACAAACAAATGGAAAAATATTCCATGTTCATGGATAGGAAGAATCAATATTGTAAAAATGGCAATACTGCCCAAAGTAATTTATAGATTCAATGTTATTCCCATCAAGCTACCAGTGACTTTCTTTGCAGAATTAGAAAAATCTACTTTACATTTCATATGGAACCAAAAAGAGCCCATATAGCCAAGACAGTCCCAAGCAAAGAGAACAAAGCTGGAGACCTCATGCTACTTGACTTCAAACTATGCTACAAGCCTACAGTAACAAAAACAGCATAGTACTGGTACCAAAACAGATATACAGACTAATGGAACAGAACAGAGGTCTCAGAAATAACACCACACATCTACAACCATCTGATCTTTGACAAATCTGACAAAAACAAGCAATGGGGGAAGTAGCCCCTATTTAATAAATGGTGTTGGGAAAATTGGCTAGCCATATGCAGAAAACCGGAACTGGACAACTTCCTTACACTTTATACAAAAATTAACTCAAGATGAATTAAAGACTTAAACGTAAGACCTAAAACCATAAAAACCCTAGAAGAAAAATGAGGCAATACCATTCAGGACATAGGCATGAGCAAAGATGTCATGACTAAAACACCAAAAGCAATGACAACAAAAGCCAAAATTGACAAGTGGGATCTAATTAAACTAAAGAGCTTCTGCACAGCAAAAGAAACTATCATCAAAGTGAACAGGCAACCTACAGAATGGGAGAAAATTTTTGCAATCTACCCATCTGACAAACGGCTAATATCCAGAATCTACAAGAACCTTAAACAAATTTACAAGAAAAAACAAACAACTCCATGAAAAAGTGGATGAAGGATATGAACAGACACTTCTCAAAGGAAGGCATTTATGTGGCCAACAAATGTATGAAAAATAGCTCATCATCACTGGTGATTAGAGAAATGCAAATCAAAACCACTTTGAGATACCATCTCATGCCAGTTAGAATGGCAATCATTAAAAAATCAGGAAGCAACAGATGCTGGAGAGGATGTGGAGAAATAGGAACGCTTTTACACTGTTGGTGGGAGTGTAAATTAGTTCAACCATTGTGGAAGACAGTGTGGTGATTCCTCAAGGATCTACAACCAGAAATACCATTTGACCCAGCAATCCCATTACTGGGTATATACCCAAAGGATTATAAATCATTCTACTATAAAGACATATGCACAAGTATGTTTATTGCAGCACTATTCCCAATAGCAAAGGAACCAACCCAAATGCCCTTCAATGATAGACTGGATAAAGAAAATGTGGCACATATACAACATGGAATACTATGCAGCTATGAAAAAGGATGAGTTCATGTCCTTTTTGCAGGGACATGGACGAAGATGGAAACCATCATTCTCAGCAAACTAACACAGGAACAAAAAACCAAACACTGCATGTTCTCACTCATAAGTGGGAGGTGAACAATGAGAACCCATGGACACAGGGAGGGGAACATCACACACCAGGGTCTGTCGAGGAGTTAGGGGCTAGGGGAGGGATAGCATTAGAAGACATACCTAATATAGATGACAGGTTGATGGGTGAAGCAAACCAGCATGGCACATGTGTACTTATGTAACAAAACTGCCTGTTCTGCACATGTATCCCAGAACTTAAAGTATAATAATAATTTTTTAAAAAACACAATGAGATACCATCTCATACCAGTCAGAATAGCTGTTATTAAAAAGTCAAAAAATAACATATGCTAATGAATTTGCATAGAAAAGGGAACACTTATATCTTGCTGGTGGGAATATCAACTAGTTCAGCCATTGTCGAAAGCAGTTTGATAATTTTTTGAGTAATTTAAAACAGATTCCCCTTTCAACCCAGCAACCTCATTATTGGGTATTTACCCAAAGGAATATAAATGTTTCTGTATAAATACACATACACTCATAGGTTTATTGCAGCACTATTCACAATAGCAAAGACATAGAATCAACCTAAAGGCCCATCAGTGGTAGACTGGATAAACAATGTGGTACATATACACCATGGAATACTACACAGTCATAAGAAAGAACAAGATGAATTCTTTTGCAGCAACATAGATGGAGCTGGAGGCAATTATCCCATGTGAACTAATACAGGAACAGAAAACTAAATACCACATGTTCTCACATATAAGTTGGAGCTAAACCCAAAGAATAGAAAAACAGATGCCAGGGCCTACTCGAGGCCAAAGGTGGGAGAAGGGTGTGGATAGAAAAACTACCTGTTAGATTCTATGTTTATTATCTGTGTGACAAAATAATCTGTTTACCATTTCCCCATGGCATACACTTTACCTACGTAATGAACCTGCCCATGTACCTCTGAACCTAAAATAAAAGTTAAAAATAACAATAATAATAATAAATAAACATAAAAACAACCTTCATAGCAACATCCAGACATGTTTAAACAAATATCTGGATGCTGTTTCCTAGCCAAGGTGATACATGAAATCAAACATCACAAGTTCATCCCTTGTTTACCTGGCACTTACATACATCGTATTAAATTATATTTAACATCAAATAATGATAATTGCAAGATCATGATACCACCTAACGTGATACAACCATTATATACACAACTGAACATACACTAGCCCCTTCTCCAGGAAAGGATGAAAAGTCCTTTAGTTACATTCATTCTTCTACTTCATGGTCTATAAATTATATACTGTGATGTAAAGTTAACAATACTTAAATACTATAGTATAAACTCAAAAATCTTCTAATACACATGCACATGTATTCACAACAAATTAAGAAAGAAATACTCATAACAATTACAGTTCTTTCTGTAACTAATGACTAGCCATAACTGATTTTTATAATTTCCTTCTTCCACTAAACAATCCAAATTCCCTTTTTACTCAGCAAGCACCCCAGCTGGCCATGGCTCTTTACCTGATGGGGTGACACAAACTTTCACTTCTGAAAAACCTTCATTCCTGAAAGAACTGTTTAACAAAATTACAAATCAACATGCCCTTTGACAAACCCAACTTATAAAAATATATTCTATAGATATACTGTCATGATATTAATTATAAATTTATAAGATTATTTATTACAGCATTTTTATAGTAAAGACAACCTAAATTACCATGAATGGGGAACTAGTTAATATGGTTGTACCAAATGCCAATAAAATTAATGGAGTAAAGACCTCTAAAAAGTCTCCACTCAATAAAAGCTATAAGAAACTGGCAAAATTTGTCAGGACAAACTTTTTCCAAATTCTAAAAATTGTTCAGAGGCCTGCAGCAATTTTGGGAGCATTTATTCAGGAAATAACTTTAAATTAGCCATTGTAAGTACTTCTAAAGGACTAAAGAAAACTGTGTCTACAAATCTAGTTAAAATGGCATCAGTCCCCAAATTAATCTACATATTCAAGGCAATCCCTATCTAAATTCCAATGGCAGAGATGTGGAGAAATAGAAAACCTCATACATTGCAGATAGGAACATAAAATAGCACAGTTACTTTAGGAAAAGAGTTTGGCAGCTCCTCAAAGTATTAAACATAGAATTACCATATTCCACACCTAGTTATATACCCACAATAATTTAACACACATGTCTACACAGAAATATTTACACACTGATGCTTATTATAGCATTATTCATAATAGCCAGGAAAAGAAAACAACCTAAATATTAAAACACTAATAAGTGGGTAAGCAAAAAGTAGTGTATCCATACAAAGGAATAATATTCAGCAATAAAAATAAATGAGGTATGATATGTATTGCAACATGGAGAAACCTCAAAAACATTACACCAAGGGAAAAATAAAAATAGCCATTTATGTATGAATTCATTTACATAAAATGTCCAAAATAGGTAACATCATAAATACAAAAAGTAGATTGGTGGTTTCCAGGGACTGTGGGGGCAGGGGAAAAAATACTGAGCATGAAGTTTCTATTTGGGGGGATAAAATATTCTGAAATTAGTGGTAATGCTTGGATAATTTTATAAATACACTAAAACCACTGAATAATACCATTCTAACGGATTTTTTTGATGTATGAATTATATCACAATGAAAATATTCAGAGGAAACATTAATAAATTATTGTACAGCCATATAGTGAAATACTGAGCATCCATAAAAATGAATGACATCATATTCATTATATTGACATCATATCCAAAATGCACTAAGTGTAAAACTTAAAGTGCAGAGGATTTTTACAGAAAAAGTGGGCTAGGGAACATGTACATACATGTATTTATTATATGGATGCATGTACATGTACAATGTATGTAAAAGGAATTGAGAAACTTAACATTGGATGCCTGTGGCAAGGGGAACTGAATAATTTGAGACATATTTGCCATGGGGACTTTTCAATAGACACACTTTTGTTTTTTTTGAAATTTAAATATGTTAATACTTTGGCCTATGCAATACTAACAATTAAAATTCAAATTATCAATTTTATTGTCAAAATATATGCAGTTAAAAGCCAATTATAAAACAGAAAAATATTTGAGCAGTTTATACAAACCAATAGTAATAATATTGACACCCAATAAAAATATATAAAAGATAACAGATAATTTTTAGAAGAGAAAATACAAAAGAGATATACATTTAAAACTCTTAAACATTATTAGTAATCTAAAATCAATAAAGCAACTTATTTTTATCTTTCATGTTTGCAAAGATTTTAAAAATACCACCAATACTACCAATATCAATACCACCAATGTATTCACCAATACAGTAAGGAGTATGAAATCTCGCATACTACTTGATATGGTTTGGATCTGTGTCCCTGCCAAAATCTCATGTTGAATTGTAATATTCAGTGTTGGAGCTGATGCCTGGTGAGAGGTGATTGGATCATGGAAATGGTTTCTCATAGTTAAACACCATCCCACTTGGTGCTGTTATCATGATAGTGAGTTTTTGTAAGATCTGTTTTTTTGTTTTGTTTGTTTGTTTGTTTGTTTTTGAGATGGGTTCTCACTCTGTCACCCAGGCTGGAGTGCAGTGCCTTGATCTTGGCTCATTGCAACCTCTGCCTCCTGGGTTCCAGCAATTCTCCTGCCTCAGCCTCCCGAGTAGCTGGGATAACAGGCATGCACCACCATGCCCAGCTAATTTTTGTATTTTTAGTAGAGACGTGGTTTCTCCATGTTGACCAGGCTGGTCTGGAACTCCTGACCTCAGGTGATCCACCTGCCTTGGCCTCCCAAAGTGCTGGGATTACAGGTGGGAGCCACCATGCCTGTTTTTTTTTATTTTTTTAGACAGAGTCTTGCTCCATCACCCAGGCTGGAGTGCAATGGCGCGACCTCAGATCACCGCAACCTCCATCTCCTGGATTCAAGCAATTCTCATGCCTCAGCCTCCTGAGTAGCTGGGATTACAGGCGCACGCCAGTTTGTAACATTTTTTACATTTTTTTCTTAGAGTTTTTATCTCTCTGCTTACATTACCTATCTGTTTTTTCATTTTGTCTACTTTTTCTATTAGAGGCCTTAGCATGATAATCACAGTTATTTGAAATTTCCAATGTAATGCTTTCAAAATTTCGGCCATATCTGAGTCTGGTTCTGATGCTTACTTTCTCTCTTCAAACTATTTTTTCCTGGTAAAGCAGTTTGTAATTTCATTGTTGTTGAAAGCTAGACATAATGCATTGGGTAAAAGGAACTGAGTTAAATAATATTTGAGTGTGAGGTTTTAAGTTTATCTGTCTAAGAGTAAAGCTGTGTTTAATATTTTCTTTACCTGGAAGGGTCGGATGCTAAAATTTCCTCTGGTATTCTAGTTTTTGCACCCCCCCACCTTTTTTGTCTTTGGATTTATCTAAAGATTCCTTCTTAAATAGCATCTGAGCCTTACATTCTTTCATTTATAATTCCCTATTGTTATATGGGAGGCTTATTGGTATGATGGTAAAGTGTAGGGGAGAGAAAGTAGTCTATAATCCTATGATTAGGTCTCCATCTTTCCATCTTTTAGTAAGCCTGTGCTTCTGGACTGTTTCGTTCACAAGTTCTTCTTGACTGTTCCCCAACATCCAGCCTCAAGTTAAGTAAAAGGCTAGAAGGAATTAGAGTTGAGTATTTTCTTTCTCCCATGTTGGCTATACTCTGGCAAAACCCACCTTGCTTAGGCGCTGATAAAATACTTTTTTTGAGGGCAGGCTTTTTCAAGAAAAACAGATTGCATTTTTAAAAAATGCTTACTTTTCCCCTTCTTCTGACCAAAGCATAAAAGGCTTTTATTCTAATCTTCATGGTGAGCACCAGGTGGGGACCTCCTAAGACCCATTACCTAGAAGTTTTTATCTCTCAAGGTGGTCCATGCTCAATTTCCAGCAATTAATCAATTATGCCTTAAAAGCTCCTACCAGGATCCAGCAGCAACTTTTTATTCCAGGAAGCCAGTATTCTTTGTATACACCAAATTCTCCAGTTTTAGGGGTCATGACTTGCTCTATAACTTCAATTCTCTGACAAATCTAAGAAGAGTTGCTGACATCTGGTTTTTTCAGCTGTTTGCTTGTTGTGAGAAGAGGAGTGACAACTTTCAAGCACTTTGCATTTCAGACCTTACCCATTGTACATTTTATCAGTTTTATTTTTCTATTTTAAAAATAATGTTTCTTTCAAAAAAAATTGGAAAAAACAGGGCTCAAACACCCAACACAAAATAACTGTAAACCTTTCCTTATTTGATAAACGTTTTAAGGGTGCTTTATTTATTTATTTACTTACTTACTTACTAGAGATGAGGTGTGTGTTGCCCAGGATGGAGTCCAATGACTATTCATAGTGTGATCATAGTGCACTACAGCCTCAAACTTCTGGGCTCAAGTGATGCTACTACCCCAGCCTCCTGAGTGGCTGGGACTACAGGGATCCATCACCATTCCTGGCCAGATACTTTACTTTTTAAGTACAAAAGAAATATGCTCATAGAAAAATTTCAAGTGGTACAGAAAATGAAATGTGAAAAGTTAATATCTTCCTCAATTTTCTTTTTTCAGAGATAATTACTATGAGCATTGTATTGTGTGTCCTTCAAAAATTGGTCGGTGCATACATAAGTGTATTTATCATGTTTTATATCAAATGGATTATTCCATATTTAGTCTTCTACAATTTGTTTTTTTTAAAAAAAATTATAGTTGAGATTATAGCATACTTACAGATTTATATTTTGCTTTTTAAATTTTGTATTATAAATATTCCTCTTCATATTTTAACCCTTAATAGGTATCATAATAGTTGTCTTCGTTATATAAATATACTGCAATATACTTAAGCTGTCTCGTTGAGCATTCAGTTTTCTCTTAATGTTTGCTCTTCAATCAATTTAACAAATATTTATTGAGTATTTATCAGGTGCCAGTTCCTGTACATGTCACTGCAAATACAACAGATATATATATCTGTACATGTACACGTGTGTTTGTGTGTGTGCGCATGTATGTGGACTTCATGAAGCTTAAATTCAAACTATTATAAATAATGCTGCAACAAACAACTTTGGGAATAAGTATGCCTCTGCCATGTCTTTCTTTTGCATAGCTACTTAAAAGTGGAATTCCCAAGTTAGAGGATATGAATATTTTAAGGTTTGAATATAAATTGCCAAATATCTCGTTACAAAAGCTGCATCATTTTATGAGCTTGTACAAGTTACACAGGCAGATATCATGTCATTCTTACTATATCACTATATTTCCACCACCTGAGATAGTGCCTGTCACATATTAGGTTGTTAATACTTGTTTGTTTAATAAATGAACAAAATCTCATTAGCAGTCCATAAGAAAGTGGCTATCTCATTTTTCTTTCCAATGATGTGGTTGAATAGTTGAAGGTGTATTTTGGAGACAGTCTACCTGGATGGTATTTCTCCTCTGCTTGATATTAGCTGATAACCTTAGACAATTTACTTGACCTTTCTCTGTCTTAGTTTTCTTATCTATAAAGTGGAGCTAATAATAATATAACGTTATGGGGTAGTTGTAAGGATTAATAGATTAGAATTTTTGTTAATCTATTAATACATATTAATGCATGTGTGTATGTATACGTTCACCAATGTATATTTCCAATATATATTTTGTGAATAATCTATTTATGCCTATATCTTTTTTCCTGTTAAAAAAACAGTATCTTAGGGTTTCTCTTAGTGATTTGTATAAATTCTTCATTTTAAAAAATCAAGCAAACAAACCTTGGGCTCTGATGTCAGAGAATCAGAGTTTGAATTCTGACTGTACCACTAACTTTGTGAGTTTGAGAGAGTTAACTAAACATTCTATGTCTTCATTATGTCATCTCTATCATGAAGATTATAAGAATGTCTACCTCAAAGGGTTTTTATAATTGTTAAATTACTCATACTTACAAAGCACTTTTAGAAGTTCCAAATATGTATTAATGGCTTAATCAATGGTAGTTATTCTCACCTCTTACCAAGATAACTGTGATCTTCCTTCTGTTTCCAAATCACTCTCCGTCCATATTTCATCTTCTATACTGCTTTGAGACTCATCTTCCGAAAGACAGATTTGCTCATTCTCTTTCTCCATCTCTACTAAATAATCTCTATCTCCTCATCACTACTAAATTAAGTCTAAATTCAGCATAGCATTTTAAGGCTTTCCACTCTCTTATTACAAATTACCCTTTCAGCCTTGTCTACATGAATGCCTACTCCTCCAACTTGGGCTCCTTGCTGTTTTGTGAATGTGCTTGTCACTTTCCCTTTTGTACACACTTACTTAAGCTATTCTTTCTTGCTTGAAATACTTCTCATTTTATTTCTACCTAGCAAAATTTATGCAAGTCTGGCTCAAATGCCATCTGTTCCAAGCAAAGTTTCTTGGTTCCTCCAAATGGATGGATGTGCTTAGTGCCTCACCTAAAGTAAAACTGCAGCATTTGCATATGTGTGCTATCCTTTATGAGACAATAAGCTGCTTAAGGCAGGAACATTGTCTTTTTTTTCTCTACAGGGCTAAGCACTCAATAGGTGATCAATATCGACTTGTTAAATTGAAGCCCTGATATTTATAACTAGAATACTAGACTAATTCCTAAGCTTATTTCTTAGAATTCTTTGTTAAGATACTTTGATTGAAGGCAGGGGACTGTTGAATGTGTCCTAGAACAAAGAAGATAGAAAGCTTGCTGAAAATATTTTTAGACATGTATTTCTTTGATCAAAAATATTTATGGAGAACCTACCGTGTATGTATAAAGTGGTTCTTTCATAAGCATAGTCTTTTGTCCTAGGAGCTTACAGGTTTCCAGTCTAATATGTTTCTTTTCATTCGACAGACAAGAGAGAAAGAACAGGTAAGCAGACAAGAAAGAATTAAAAATTGCTGAAAGTTTTACAAAAATGCAATAGAGTTGGAGTAAAACAAACACAAAACAAAAATGTTACTGAGATGCCCAGATACAGAGAAAACCATAAACTTTCTCCCTTTTTTTCCACGTGGTAGCCTAGGCTGAATCACTCGTTCATCTATTATTTATTCATTTGTGCTATTCAACAAACCTTTACTGGGTGACTATTATGTGGAGAGCTGTGCTTAGTGGGTAGGAAAGACAGGGAGCTCATAGTCTGTGAGCTTAGGTAGCTACATTAATAACAATCATACAAGGTAGACAGCATAAAGAGTGTGTATTCTGGGAGGTCAAGAGAAGCAGGACTCACTGGGCTATAGCAAAATCACAGGGAAAAGTAAATCATAAAGGTCATTTTTGCTACCACACGGCTCACTGTGGGAGTTACAGAATTTATTAGAGGCACCTCCAATTGGCATTTGGGCAGTTTCTGATCCTTTTGGCCATCTATTGTCCTGTTAATTGTTCTCCAAAGTGGCATAAAAAGCACTGGAGATAGCATTTTAGTTTTGTTGTTTTCATTCCTAAATTTGAATTCATTATATTTTTTGGCCATGTTTTTCCTGATTCTCTGATTTTCTCAATTTTAAAGTGGTAATCAGTCAGAAAAATATATTTTTATATACTGCACAGCTTTTTTTGCTTCATTGTTGGTGTTTTTGTCATTTATTAGCTCTGTGGCCTTGGATAATTTACTTTACTCTCCCAGTCTGCAAAATGGAGAGAGTAATAACACCTGCTTCATAAGATTGTTTTGAAAATTTAATGGCATGACTATAAAGTGCATGGAAGAGTGTGTACCCAATAAGCATGAGTTATCTTCCTTCTGACTCTTTTCATAAGATTCAAAGAAGACAGCGTTT
The DNA here is from genome assembly GCF_000001405.40 of Homo sapiens. Lineage (NCBI taxonomy): Eukaryota > Metazoa > Chordata > Mammalia > Primates > Hominidae > Homo > Homo sapiens. The sequence goes on from NC_000023.11 coordinate 83,999,312, forward strand.
AGGAGTCAGAAGATGTCAACTACTTATGTGATGCTAGTCAAGTCATCAAACCACTTCAGGTCTCAGTTTTCTCATCTTACAATGTTGTTGGGAAGGCTCCAGGGCAAAATGGATGAGAATTAAAAAGCACTCTGCAAAACCATAGTGCACATGGAAATGTAAGTTGTTATTATTTGAATGCTGAGCAGTGCTTCTGGAATAACAAGGAAGCTATCTGGTAATTGTGATTCTGAAAGTGCCCTTAGTCAGGCTTCTCCCCTACTAAATTTATTTCCTAATAGAATGAGTTAAACCTGCTGTTGTTGCTAATTAAAATGCTCTTATAGCTTAATGAAGATATCAGCTGCCCTGTGTATGTGTTGGGGAGGATAATTGAGGGGTATGAGTGAGTGTCTAGAATGTCAATCCACTGTTTTAAACACTTCATTTATTGGAAAAGTTTGAATTTCAGGCCATTTTTTTCCTCTAAGTTATGAACTCAAAATATCTGAAACAGATCTCAATCAATTTAGAGAGTTTATTATGCCAAGGTTAAGGACATGCCCATGACACAGTGTCAGGAGGTCCTGATGACATGTGCCCAATGTGGTCAGGGTGCAGCTTACTCTTATACATTTTAGGGAGACATGAGACATTAAACAATACATGATGTATATTGGTTCAGTTTAGAAAGACAGGACAACTTGAGGTGGGGGCTTCCAGGTCATATGTAGATAAGAGAAAAAAGTTGCATTCTTTTCAGTCCTTGATCAGCCTTTCACTGAGTACACAACTTAGTCTAGCTCAATGAATCTGTATTTTTACATAAACAGTAGGGCAGAGGAAGCAATCAGATATGCATTTGTCTCAGGTGAGCAGAGTGATGACTTTCTGTCTCACACCTGTGAAGATAAGCTATCAGTTTACATTGCCAGGGTAAAATTCAACAGAATTGTTTTAGGGTAAAGATTTTGAGGCCCACAAGATATTTCCTGTGGGAAAATTGTGAAAGAGTCATGTAGCTTTTTAAAATCTTTGTAGCTATCTTATTTAGGAATAGAGTGGGAGGCAGGTTGGCCCAACCTCGCAGTTCCCAGTTTGACATTTCCTTTTGCTTAGTAATTTATTTTCCTTCTATACCCTAAAATTAACAGCCATTCAGGAAACTTTCTGTGTTTTGTCATTCTGTCCCTTGCTCCTGGGGCAAAGTTTCTCATATGCTCCATGCATTTCTTACAAAATTGCCTCTCAAAATGTAGTCTTAACATTACCTGTATCAAAATCACCTAAGGGCATGTTAAAATGACAATGCACAGGCCCCACCCCAGGCCTACTGAATGAAACCCCCTAGCAGTAGTACTGTCAAAACTGCATTTTAAAGCCTGCCCATTTGATTCTATATATGATAGCACTGATGACTGCCTTAAACTAATTTAATAGAAATAATTTCTTAAAATACACAAACATGGTAAAAAATATTAAACAGTTCAAAAGAGTTTACCCTGAAAGGTAAACCTCCCATATTTTCCCTGCTCCTCTGTCCAGATACAACTGTGAACCCTGAATATCTGAGACAGGTTAATTGAGAAAGTTTATTTTGCCAAGGTTGAGGACATACACCCATGAAAGCTTCAGGAGATTCTAATGACATGTGCCCAAGGTGGTCAGGGCACACCCTGGTTTTATTCATTTTAGAGAGAAATGAGACACCAATAAATATATGTAAGATGTACATTGGTTGCCTCCAGAAAGGCGGGAAAAGCAGAAAGGGGGCTTTCGGGTCACAGGTACCTGAGAGACAAATGGTTGCATTCTTTTGAGTTTCTGATTAGCCTTTCCAAAGGAAGCAATTAGATACACATTTTCTCAGTGAGCAGAGGGATGACTGAATGGAATGGGAGACAGGTATTCCCTAAGCAGTTCCAAGCTTGACTTTACCCTTTAGCTTAGTGATTTGGGGGACCTAAGATTTATTTTCCTTTCACATTTTCCCCATTTAAAGAAAATATTTTGGAAAAAGCATTTTAAAAGAAAATGAGTCACCGGTCTCAGGTTTTGTCTGATCTCTCAAGTCTAGAAAGGTTTATTCCTAGATGGTGTGAAAGAAAATTAAATTTTGGGACCCCAAACTCATTTAGCCAAAGGGAAAGGTCAAGCTGGGAACTGGGTCACACAAACCTGCCTCCATCATTTGGTTCCTAAATAAGATGGCTACAAGATAAAAAGCTACGAGTCTCCCCCATATTTTGCCCACAAGGAAATTCCTGGTGAGATGTTGTAACTTCACTAGGGCAATGCAAATTGATAGCTTATCTTTACAAACACCCTGGCCTGTTAGACACAAATGCATATCTGATTGTTCTGCTGCCCCATTTTGTCTGTGTTATCTTATGTAAAATGCAGATTTCACACATTTTTCCTTTGCCCCTTTTGTTATGTGAAAACTCTTTGCTTTCCAATATCCTGCCCTTTCCCCTTTAAATTTGGAGCCCTCAAAATCATCTTCAAAGAAAGGCATCGATCTGTCTCCCAGGTGTGTCCTTAACCTTGGCAAATAAACCTCCAAAGATGACTGAGACTTGTCTCGACATTTTCTTTGACTGACATCTGGTAACCACGGAGGGATCCTGAGTGAAAGTGACCTGGCCTACAGCTATTAGCCTCTTGGTGCTTCGTACTGGCTTGGGCACCTTATAGCTCGAACCAACAGGATGAATTTGCTGAAGTTTGGGACCTATTTCCTCCAGGGGTTCCTGATCTTCCAACAGTTTTTGATTGGGGGTCTGAAGTTTATTGGCTGTTAAAAAAAATCCTTTTTTTGTGGGAGTTTTTCCACCTGCTTCCACCAAGAAAGGCAAGCTCATCTGCTTCTGCAACGGCAGAGAGTGGTCTCCAGCTTGGAACCCATCACTAGGTAAGAAACTGGTTTGAGATTCTGTCTTGCAAATTCTCTAAATGACTAAAATTAGCATTAACAACCAGCTGGTGTCAATTTCCTGCTTATACTTAGAGTGCTCAGAAATCATACATTTTGTGTGATTATTATAAGTTTTGCTTAACTGCTTTGTTGTTTGTTTCTGTTTTTGTGTATGTGTATATTTGTATGTTTCTGTCCTTTCCCCTATCAGATTTGACCAACTCAGAACACTCTAGCTCATGAGTGTGGAGTCTCCCACTCCAAAGAAATAGAGCACCTTACTCCCTTCATTCAGCCTTTTGGGGCATTCTCAGGCAACTGAGAATCTCATGAGGGTGTCTAGGAGAAATGCTCCCTAAGACATGCAGCAGCTCTAAATAAGTTTCCCTTTCAGAAGAACATATTTAGTGTCTAATCTCAGCCAGCAGGTGCATATAAGGAGCCGACCCCTCTCACACCTTAGCTCCTGGCACATTTGTGCCAGGTAGCCACGACACAGGTGGACCAAACCGGTTCAGAGGGGAACAACCTTGAAAAGCTAAGTTCGCAAGCAGCACATTTTGGGTTTGACACATGTACTGCCTTGGTCAAATCCAAAGAGGAGCTCTAAATTATGGGAAACAAGGCCTCTAAGACCCCAGCAGCTGAGGAACATAAAGTTTCCCCTTTAGAACCTCTGGCCGAGTATATGCAAAATACTTAGGTGAACTGTCATGCAGATATTTAACCAAGTGGACCACTATAACTAAAGCAGATTCTAAGTTACAATGGCCTAAATAGGGATCTTTTGAGATACCCAAATTAGTGTACCTGTGAACCAGTATGGATAATGCAGGCACAAAAACTAAGCAATCAGAATGGAAGAGTTATTTTCAGTGGTATTTGGAGAGTAGTAAGAGGCAAAGGTAAACAAGCAGAAGGTAAACAAGCAACTTGGAAATGCTAATCAAGAACTCTCTAATTTTTCTTCTCTCTTAAAGAAATCCTCAGAGTCCCTTACTTTCCCCTTGGGACCCCTCCCTCCTCCACCTATACTTGCACTCTACCATGACCTCTCTGAACTTCTGGGGCAAGATTTGTTTTCCCCTTCTGCATGTTTAACACTTGCTCAACAGGAGGCAGTTGGGAATCTGACTTCAAAGACCCCATCTGCTGACAATTCCCTGACAGTCCCAATGGCCAGTTTTATCCCAGATATGTGGAAAAGGGGGATTCCACAGGGATTTCTCTCATGATTGCCCCTTTTTGAGAACAACCAGTAACAGATAGGGGAACCCCAGTGACTGTTTACCAACCCTGGTCAAAGGCTGAATTACATGGCATAGTTAAAGCATTTCCTGACCCCCATAAAGATCCAATTGGGTTTGCCCGAGAATTTGAGCTTATTAGAACCTATGACCCAGGTCATTCTGACCTTTATCAGCTAGTCCACATGTTGGTCTTAGAAGCTAAAGCTAAGGAATGGCTGGAGAAAGCAGAATGGTCAGACCCTATAGCAGACTTGACTCCTGAAGGTCCAGTAGAGCCCCCAACAACCAGCGCCCCCCTCCAAATCCAGGAGACAGGCATAAAGATGCGTAGGAACGAGCAGCCACTCTGTTAAATATTATTCCTTCAGTGTTCCAAAGGGTTGTGGATTGGAATAAAATCCAAAAATGCCACCAGAACACAAACAAATCAATTTTATATTATTTCATGTTTTGATAAAACTTTAAGACACTCTTGCGGGATGTCAACTGATTGCTTTGAAAACAACAAAAATATACGTTATCGAATGCAAATTTCTTACATGGACTACATGATGATTTAGCCACCCTTATAAAATGCAACATGACCAGCTGGGCCACAGCCAGAACTAATTAACCAGTTAACTTAGCTGACCAATTATCCTGCACTACAATAAAAAAGAAAAAACAGAAGATTGCTCGAGTTATGCATTTAAAGCTAAAGCAATTAACTTCTCAACCGCTCAGCGTCAGATAGATTTTAGGCTCCCTCGGTCTGAGAACCCTTCCCTCCCAGTCTGCTACTACTGTAAAAGACCAGGACACCTTAAAACAGATGGCCCTAGGTTGAAACAAAAGAAAAGGCAGGAGAATGAAACTCAGGAAGACTAGGCATGCTCTGAGGAAGTACAGGGGTTTCACCTTTCCAAATATTCTACCCTGACAAACAAACTGGGAGAGGTTAGTATAATAATAAACCATGAGCTTACAAATGCCTTAATTGACACAGGCATGACTATATCTCTGATAAATTCCACCTTATTTAGAAACCCCATTCCTCGGAGTAATAGAAGAATTAACATGGTTGGTGTGTCTAATAAAACAATCTTATGTTTTAAGTCAAAACCTATACCTTACTATTTCATCAGGTTCAGCCCCCCCACCACAGGCTCTAAGTGTGACAGGCTCAGTAGGTCTCATATCTTTTTTTTTTTTTTTTTTTTTTTTTTTTTTTGAGACTGAGTTTCACTCTTGTTGCCCAGGCTGGAGTGCAATGGCACAGTCTTGGCTCACCACAATCTCCACCTCCCGGGTGCAGGCAATACTCCTTCCTCAGCCTCCCAAGTAGCTGGGATTACAGGCATCCACCACCATGCCTGGTTAATTTTTGTATTTTTAGTAGAGATGCGGTTTCACCATGTTGGCCAGGCTGGTCTCGAAGTCCTGACCTCAGGTGATCTGCCCGCCTGGCCTCCCAAAGTACTGGAATTACAGGTGTGAGTCACCATGCCCGGCCTCCATATCTTTCTTATATGCCCTTTGGCCCCTGTCAATTTTTTGGGCCATGATCTCCTCAAAATCCATAATGCCCATGTCTCTTTTTCATCAAAAGGTGAACTTTTATTAGAATTTGAACCAGGGGACCAAAAATACCAAATTCAAAAACGTCCTGACATTGTTCCACAGTTTAGCACTAGTAATGTTAAAACATCATCTTGTGACCAGGAAAATAAAATGGAGACAGAGGAGGAAATTTTAGGGGAGAATAAGAGACGCTGGAATAAACATCAGAAAACAATAAAACTCCTTTTAGCTTCCCCAATTTTCCTATTAACACCAGAAGTGGGATACTTGCTCAAGGATGTCCCCTCCCACTTATGGTCTCAGTCAAATACAGATATAGGAAAAATATTCTCACCCACTCAGGTAAAGGTAGAGATAGATAAACCCAAAGAAACCCCTGTCCAAGCTTAAACAATACCTTCTATGAAGAACGCCGTAGATGGAATTACCCCTATCATACAAGATTATCTGAAAAAGCTGCTGGCTCATTATTCCCTGCACAAGCCTCCGCAACTGCCCTATATTCCCCGCAAAGAAACCAAGTGGGAGAGGATGGAGGTTTTTGCAGGACTTGCGTGCAATAAGCTATATCGTAATACCCAGGCTCCCAGTAGTTCCCAACCCACACACCCTTCTATCAGCTATACCCACTACCAGCCAGTATTTCTCAGTTGTGGATCTCTGCGGTGCCTTTTTTAATATTCCTGTAGATCCAGAGAGCCAGTATTTGTTTGCCTTTACTTGGAAAGAATGACAATATACGTGGACTGTAATGCCCCAACGGTATACAGAAAGTCCCACTTATTTTTCCAAATATTAGAAGCTGATTTAGATAATATAATTTTTCCCCAGGGCTCAACAATCATTCAGTACATGGATGACCTTCTTCTTTGTTCAAGCACACTATGTTCCTCCCAGGAAGATAGCCTATATTCACTCAGTCAGCCACCGAGGGACACAAGGTGTGAAAAGACAAACTTCAGCTATGCTTACCTCAATTTAAGTATTTGGGTCATATTATCTCAGTCAAAAGACTGAGTATTAACCCTGACAGAGGGAGAGAAATTGTAGCTCTCCCAGTGCCCGTCACTAGAAAACAACTTAGAAGAATTTTGGGCCTGGCAGGCTATTGTAGAAACTGGATACCGAATTTCTCCCTGATGGCTCAACCTCTGTCTGCATACCTAAAAAATGAACAATATCTGATCCCATCATGTGGACTCCAGAGAAACAATCAGCTGTACAACAAATAAAGGAAATTCTAACTAATGCCCTAACCTTAGGGCACCCAAACTACAAATTGCCTTTCTCTTTTTTTGTACACAAAATTGGAGGTACTGCATCTAGGGTACCGACCCAGAAACACGGTGATCAGCAGAGACATATAGGCTATTATAGCCAACAGCTGGACCCTGTGGCTTGAGGGCTGCCTCCTTGTGTGAGAGCAATAGCAGCCACAGCCCTTCTGTACAAGTCTGTTGAAGAAATAATTATGGGTTCCCCCCTCACCATTTTTGTGCCACATTCTCTTGAGACCCTTTTAACTCTCATCGTACTAACATCTGTCTGTCAAACAGTTAGCCTCTTGTGAAATTTTGCTTTTATCATCTTCCAATATTACTATTTCCTGCTGTAATAATATTAACCTGGTCACTCTAATGCTGGGTCCTGCCGACAAAACCCCTCATGACTGTGTTCTGATGACTGACAGACTTCTCACCCCAGGAAAGACCTACAAGAGACACCACTGGATAATGCTGAGATAGAATGGTATACAGATGGGTCTTATATAAGAGAAGAGGATGGAAATTTTACAGCAGGATATGCTGTGGTTTTATTACTAGAGGTAATTGAAGCCAGTCCTCTTCCCCAAGCCAGATCAGCTCAAGCGGCCAAATTGATTGCCCTGACCCGAGCTTGTCAACTGGCAAAAGACAAGACTGCAAACATTTACACTGACAGCCACTATGGGGTTGCTCATGACTTTGGGATACTATGAAAAGAGAGAGTATATTTAACCTCCTCAGGGCAACCCATAAAAATGGACAACAAGTATCACAGCTGTTAGAAGCTATTCTAAAACCAAAATGTTTGGCAATTATAAAAATTCCAGGTCACTCAAAATTAGACACCACAGAAAGTCATGGTAACAAATTGGGTGATGCCACTGCTAAAAGAGCAGCATCCAAGCCACCAGACCCAATCCAAGAAATGGCCATAAAACCCGAAACACTTAGAAACATGTTGAAAGAAACCAAGAACATAGCTCCTACAAAGGAGAAATCTACTTGGAAACAGGCAGTGGCAGCGGGATACTTGTCTCCTGAAACAAATATGGTGTGGACCTAATAATAAACCCATTATTTCAATGGGATTTCAGGTGCCCCTTATGGAATATGTCCATAATCTAAACCACTGGAATCCAGATAAAATGATATCCTGGTGTAAACAATATTACTGGAAACCATCCTTCACAGTGGCACAAAAAGTTTACTCTCAATGTGTTATTTGTCCCAAATATAACCCAGGAAATCCCCTCCATGGGGCCCAGGGTCATTTTTCCCTCCTGGCTGAAACTTTTGAGGTATGGAAGCTTGATTTTATCCAGCTGCCATCATCTCAAGTTTACAAGTATGTTTTAGTAATGCTCTACATGTTTTCCCATTGGGTTGAACCTTTTCCCTGCAGGCAAACAACAGCCATGGCAGTTGAAAAAATCCTACTAGAAAAAAAGTACCCCACTGTCGGGAGTCCCCTGTGAACTTCACAGTGACAGGACAACTCACTTTACTGGCCAGGTTTTTCAAAATACTTGTAAAATTTGACCCCTATTTCAACATCTCCATTGTGCCTACCATCCCCAATCTTCAGGCCTGCTGGAGAGGACCAGTGGAATAATTAAGACACAATTGGCTAAGTTCACAGAGACATTTTACCTCTCCTGGCCCAAAGCTCTCCCCCTAGTGCTGCTTACACTCCAATCCACCCCTTTCAGAAAACTTCAGCTGTCCCCTTTTGAATTATAACGGGAAGGCCCATGTGTGTGAGAACAAACATAACCAACCAACTTTTCTCAAGAGAGATATATTGCAATATTGTGAGGGACTTATTTATCACCTTAAAAAAAGCCAATATTTGGTAAAGAATTTCACAGTGTGCTTCCTGAAGATAAGGTACCTGGTCACAATCTGCAACCCAGAAATTTTGTCTATTGGAAAAGACATCTAATAAAGGATTCCCTTCAACCCTGATGGAAGGGCCCATACCAGGTACTATTGACTAATCCCTGTGCTGCAAAATTAGAGGGTATATACTCATGGATTCACATCTCTCATCTTATAAAGGCACAACCTCCTGAATGGACTGTAACTCCCACCAAAGACCTTTGCCTCCAGTCCACTAAACATCGACCTTCAACCCAGAATTAGAAGCAGATGACAGCTGATGTGGACTGCTTAAACCCAAGACACAGGACCAGGCCTGTATATAAATAAATGCTTATGTTTGTTATACAATTACTATTATAATTATTGTTCTAGATATACTGTCTACTGCTTTCTCGTAAGGAACAGGGTAATCCGGTTGTCTGATTTAACACACTTTAGTAACTAAGATGAAGTTCACAGCCTTGCTATTATTAATCATGTATTTCTACACCTTCTTGCCAGTGTCACCCACTGATGCCCATGAAACAAACCTGTTTGTACAATGGGCTCAGGATTATGCAGACAGGTTACAAAAGGACACTTGCTAAATATGCAGAATCATGCCTCTTTCCAGGGGCTCCTGGATAGAATACCAAAAATTTATTACAGAAATGGTCTGAGGCTCTGTTCCAAGATGGCAGAATAGGAACAGCTCTGGTCTGCAGCTCTCAGCATGATCAATGAAGAAGACAGGTGATTTCTGCATTTCCAACTGAGGTACCTGGTTCATCTCATTGTGTCGGGTTGGAAAGTGGGTGCAGCCCACGGCGGGCGAGCTTAAGCAGGGCGAGGCATCACCTCACCCTGGAGGCACAGGGGGTAGGGGGATTTCCTTTACTAGCCAAGGGAAGCCATGACAGACCGTACCTGGAAAAAGGTACACTCCCACCCAAATATTGTGCTTTTCCCAGGGTCTTAGCAACCAGCAGACAAGGAGATTCTCTCCCGTGCCTGGCTCGGCAGGTCCCACGCCCACAGAGCCTTGCTCACTACTAGTGCAGCAGTCTGAGATTGAACTGCGAGGTGGCAGCCTTGCTGGGGGAGGGGAGTCCACCATTGTTGAGGCCTGCGTAGGTAAACAAAGCAGCCAGGAAGCTCAAACTGGGTGGAGACCACTGCAGCTCAGCAAGGCCTACTGCCTCTATAGACTGCACCTCTGTGGGCAGGGCATAGCTGTACAAAAGGCAGCAGACAACTTCTGCAGACTTAAACGTCCCTGTCTGACAGCGCTGAAGAGAGCCATGGTTCTCCCAGCATAGCATTTGAGCTCTGAGAATGGACAGACTGCCTCCTCAAGTGGGTCCCTGACCCCCATGTAGCCTAACTGGGAGAAACGTCCCAGTAGGGGTCTACAGACACCTAATATAGTCAGGTGCCCCTCTGGGAAGAAGCTCCCAGAGGAAGGATCAGGCAGCAATATTTGCTGTTCTGCAATATTTGCTGTTCTGCAGCCTCCGTTGATGATACCCAGGCAAACAGGGTCTGGAGTGGACCTCCAGCAAACTCCAACAGACCTGCAGCTGAGGGACCTGAATGTTAGAAGGAAAACTAACAAACAGAAAGGAATAGCATCAACATCAACAAAAAGGACACCCACACCAAAGCCCCATCTGTAGGTCACCATCATCAAAGGCCAAATGTTGATAAAACCACAAAGATGGGGAGAAAACAGAGGAGAAAAGCTGAAAATTCTAAAAACCAGAGCGCCTCTTCTCCTCCAAAGGATCGCAGCTCCTCACCAGCAATGGAACAAAGCTGAACGGAGAATGACTCTGAGGAGCTGACAGAAGTAGGCTTCAGAAGATTGGTAACAACAAACTTCTCTGAGCTAAAGGAGGATGTTCGAACCCATCACAAGGAAGCTAAAAAACCTTGAAAAAAGATTAGACAAATGGCTAACTAGAATAAACAGTGTAGAGAAGACCTTAAATGACCCGATGGACCTGAAAACCATGGCATGAGAACTATGTGATGCATGCACAAGCTTCAGTAGCCGATTTGATCAAGTGGAAGAACGGTATCAGTGATTGAAGATCAAATTAATGAAATAAAGTGAGAAGAGAAGGTTAGAGAAAAAAAAGAGTAAAAAGAAAAAACAAAGCCTCCAAGAAATATGGGACTATGTGAAAAGACCAAATCTACGTTTGATTGGTGTACCTGAAAGTGATGGGGACAATGGAAACAAGTTGGAAAACACTCTTCAGAATATTATCCAGGAGAACTTCCCCAACCTAGCAAGGCAGGCCAACATTCAAATTCAGGAAATACAGAGAACACCACAAAGATACTCCTCAAGAAGAGCAACCCCAAGACACGTAATTGTCAGATTCACCAAGGTTGAAATGAAGGAAAAGATGTTAACAGCAGCCAGAGAGAAAGTTCAGGTTACCCACAAAGGGAAGCCCATCAGACTAACAGCGGATCTCTTGGCAGAAACCCTATAAGCCAGAAGAGAGTGGGAGCCAATATTCAACATGCATAAAGAAAAGAATTTTCAACCCAGAATTTCATATCCAACCAAACTAAGCTTCATAAGTGAAGGAGAAATAAAATCCTTTACAGAGAAGCAAATGCTGAGAGATTTTGTCACCACCAGGCCTGCCCTAAAAGAGCTCCTGAAGGAAGCACTAAACATGGAAAGGAACAACCGGTACCAGCCACTGCAAAAACATGCCAAATTGTAAAGACCATCAATGCTATGAAGAAACTGCATCAATTAATGGGCAAAATAATCAGCTAACATCATAATGACAGGATCAAATTCACACATAACAATATTAAACTTAAATGTAAATAGGCTAAATGCCCCAATTAAAAGATATAAACTGGCAAATTGGATAAAGACTCAAGACACATCAGTGTGCTGTATTCAGGAGACCCATCTCACGTGCAGAGACACATATAGGATCAAAATAAAGGGATGGAGGAAGATCTACAAAGCAAATGTAAAGCAAAAAAAAAAAAAAAAAAAAAAAGGAGGGGTTACAATCCTAGTCTCTGATAAAACAGACTTTAAACCAACAAAGATCAAAAGAGACAAAGAAGGCCATTACATAATGATAAAGGGATCAATTCAACAAAAAGAGCTAACTATCCTAAATATGTTTGCACCCAATACAGGAGCACCCACATTCATAAAGCAAGTCCTTAGAGACCTGCAAAGTGACTTGACTTAGACTCCCCGCAATAATAATGGGAGACTTTAACAACCCACTGTCAATATTAGACAGATCAACGAGACAGAAGGTTAACAAGGATATACAGGACTTGAACTTAGCTCTGCACCAAGCAGACCTAAGAGACATCTACAGAACTCTCCACACCAAATCAACAGAATGTATGCTCTTCTCAGCACCACATCACAATTATTCTAAAATTGACCACATAATTGGAAGTAAAGTACTCCTCAGCAAATGTAAAAGAACAGAAATCACAACAAACTGTCTCAGACCACAGTGCAATCAAATTAGAACTCAGGATTAAGAGTTCTAACTCAAAACCACACAGCTAAATGGAAACTGAACAACCTGCTCCTAAATGACTATGGGGTAAATAATGAAATGAAGGCAGAAATAAAGATGTTCTTTGAAACCAATGAGAACAAAGACAAAATGTACCAGTATCTCTGGGGCACATTTAAAGCAGTGTGCAGAGGGAAATTTATAGCACTAAATGCCCACAAGAGAAAGCAGGAAAGATCTAAAATTGACACCCTAACATCACAATTAAAAGAACTAGAGAAGCAAGAGCAAACAAATTCAAAAGCTAGCAGAAGGCAAAAAATAACCAAGATCAGAGCAGAACTGAAAGAGACAGAGACACAAAAGCCCTTCCAGAAATCAAAGAATCCAGGAGCTGGTTTTTTGAAAAGATCAACAAAATTGATAGACTGCTAGCAAGACTGATAAAGAATAAAAGAGAGAAGAATAAAATATATGCAATAAAAAAATGATAAAGGGAATATCACTACCAATCCCACAGAGATGCAAACTACCATCAGAGAATACTATAAACACCTCTACACAAATAAACTAGAAAATCTAGAAGAAATTGATAAATTTCTGGACCCATACACTCTCCCAAGACTAAACCAGGAAGAAGTTGAATCTCTGAATAGACCAATAACAGGCTCTGAAATTGAGGCAATAATTAATAGCCTACAAATCAAAAAAAGTCCAGGACCAGACAGATTCACAGCAAAATTCTACCAGAGGTACAAAGAGGAGCTGGTACCTTTCCTTCTGAAATTATTCTAATCAATAGAAAAAGATGGAATCCCCACTAACTCATTTTATGAGGCCAGCATCATCCTGATACCAAAGCCTGGCACAGACACAACAAAAAAAGAGAATTTTAGACCAATATCCCTGATGAACATCAATGCAAAAATCCTCAATAAAATACAGGCAAACCAAATCCAGCAGCACATCAAAGAGCTTATCCACCACCATCAAGTTGGCTTCATCCCTGGGATGCAAGGCTGGTTCAACATAAACAACTAAATAAATGTAATCCATCACATAAACAGAACCAACAACAAAAACCACATGATTATTTCAATAGATGCAGAAAAGGCTTTCGACCAAATTCAACAACTCTTCATGCTAAATACTCTCAATAAACTAGATATTGATGGAACATATCTCAAAATAATAAGAGCTGTTTATGACAAACCCATAGCCAATATCATACTGAATGGGCAAAAACTGGAAGAATTCCTTTTGAAAACTGGCACAAGACAATAATGCCCTCTCTCACCACTCCTGTTCAACAGTGTTGGAAGTTCTAGCCAGGGCAATCAGGCAAGAGAAAGAAATAGAGTATTCAATTAGGAAAAGAGGAAGTCAAATTGTCACTGTTTGCAGATGACATGATTGTATATTTAGAAAACCCCATTGTCTCAGCCCAAAATCCCCCAGCAATCCCATTACTTCATATATACCCAAAGGATTATAAATCATGCTGCTATAAAAACACATGCACCCATATGTTTATTGTGGCACTATTCACAATAGCAAAGACTTGGAAAGAACCCAAATGTCCATCAGTGATAGACTGGATTAAGAAAATGTGGCACATATACACCAGGGAATACTATGCAGCCATAAAAAAGATGAGTTCATGTCTTTTGCCGGGACATGAATGAAGCTGGAAACCATCATTCTCAGCAAACTATCACAAGGACAGAAAACCAAACCCTGCATGTTCTCACTCATAGGTGGGAATTGAACAGTGAGAACACTTGGTCACAGTGTGGGGAACATCACACACCAGGGCCGGTCAGGGGGTGGAGGCCTGGTGGAGGGATGGCATTAGGACAAATACCTAATTCATATGGGACTTAGAACCTAGATGATGGGTTGATAGGTACAGCAAACCACCATGGCACATATATACCTATATATCAAACCTGTACGTTGTGCACATGTACCCTAGAACTTAAGGTATAAAAAAAATGGTCTGGTATTCTTAGTGCTGGCATAACAAAGGGCAGTATTTATAGTTGGCTCATAAAAAACACTCTTAAGGAGAAGGGACATGGGAAAAGATTTTCAATGCAAAGGACCATCTCATTAGCTCTCACTTACTTTAGCATTCTCCCAACTAAAACAGAAGGTGGTAACCACGCCCCAAACAATGGCCCATTTTCAAAATGAAATAATGCAAATTTGGGATGGATTTATCTGGCTCACCCCTTTGACTGGCCAACTCAGCCAAAATGCTCCTTTGTGCTGGGATCAAAGAAATCACACCAAGGACCTATGCCTAAACACTACGTGAGATATGGGGTGGATATCCAAAAGACATGGTGACCACATTATCATATTACAAGACACTGACTGGCATGCCATCAATTGGGTGCAGTGACCAGGTATTTATTGGCTAGCTCCAAATGAAACATGTTGGTTTTGTGGCACTAATTTATGGCTGCGGTTACCTCCAGGGTGGCTAGGATAATGTTCCTTAGGTTATGCTTGGGCACAAGAATAAGTAATTCAGACCCTGCCAAAACCAGCAAACCTTTTTCATTTAAAAATCTTGTTGGACACGTTTGGTATTCCAATGGTATAATCATTTAGCTTCAATATTTATACCACAGATAGGTATTTAAGATGTTATATGGCATATAGAGGCCTTACTGAATTACACTCAAAAGGCCACATGAGTATCTATCTCTTTGCTAAATGAAGAGGTCATGCTTATGAGGAAAGCTGAGCTACAAAACTGTATGGCTTTAGAAATACTAATGGCAACACAAGGGGGGAATTGCGCCATCATAAAAACTGAATGTTGTGTGTATATTCCAGATGAATCAAAGAACATAACCCAACTTATGACTGATATGAAAACCCAGATAACCAAACTGCCAGATCAAAAACCATTACTGATCGATTGGTTGAGCAGTTGGTTTGAACCCTGGGGAACTCAGTGACAGAAACTCTTGCTTATAATATTAATAATAATAATGATTTGTGTTCTGTCCTGTTTTTACTTACAATGTTGTTATTGTATGTGCTTGCAAATAAGTCGATGTGCAACTGGAAGGGCCAGGGTAATAATTGCCCAGAAAATTGCTCTAAATGAGGAGGCAGTGATATAGCCTAACCCAGCTTCTAGGTTTGCTTTCCTGTTGTTGCCATAAATCTGGCCTAGATTCATATATATATACGTATATATATATATATATGTATGTATATATATATACATATATATACGTATATATATATATACACGTATATATATATATATATACACGTATATATATATATATATATATATTTTACCTTCATGGGACAAGACTTCCTAGAAATGAGCCCTCATAGTGATGTGGGACCTGAACTTATAGGAATGAGACTACCTGGTTACATGAGACCTGAACTTCTAGGAATAAGCCTTCCTAGCAATGTGGGACTTGAACTTCTAGGAATGAGCCTTCCTAGTGACATGGGACCTAAACTTCTAGGAATAAGCCATCCCAGCAATGAGAAACTAGCAAAAAAAGGAGAAAAGAAACAACCTGAGGCCAAGAACTCATATTCTTTTTAAAATGCTTTTCTCCAAAAGATTCTAAAGAAAAAGATGGGAGGGGGCAATGTGAAAGGAAAATATATTTTGGGACCCCAAACTAATTTATTAAAAGGGAAAAGTCAAGCTGGGAACTGGGTCACGCAAACTTGCCTCCACCTTTTTGTTCCTAAATAAGATGGCTGCAAGATGAAAAGCTACCTGCCTCTCCCATATTTTGCCCACAAGGAAATTCCTGGTGAGCTGTTTAAAACTTCACCAGGACAATGCAGACTGATAGCTTATCTTCACAGGTGCAGTCACCCTGGCCTGCCAGACATAAATCCGTATCTAATTGTTCCTTACCCCATTTTGTATGTGTTATCTTATGTAAAATGCAGATTCCACACATTTTTCCTTTGCCCCTTTTGTTTATATGAAAGCTCTGTGCTTCCCAATATCCTTCCCTTTCCCCTTTAAATTTGGAGCTCTCAAAATCATCTTCAAAGAAAGGCCATAGACCTGTCTCCCAGGTGTGTCCTTAACTTTGGCAAATAAATCTCCAAAAATGATTGAGACTTGTCATGTTATTTTCTTGACTGACAATGGATATGTCGCAAGTTATCAGAAAAGCTCATTTTAGCAGGATGTGAAGTCTTATGTCCTATGAAGAGAAATTAGGGGAAGAGAGAAAAACAACAACAAACAAAAGAACAACCCTGGAAAATTGAGGCCACATTACTCTGGAGTCCATACACAAGTAGGCAGGTATAAAAGTGGCTTATGTACGTAAATAGGTTGCTGTTATTTTCTTCTGAAGTTTAATTTGTCTAGCTTCAGTCTGCAGGGCTTTAAGAAAGCACAGCTTAGTTTTCAGTGGTTTAATATTAGAATAAATGAGGGAAAAAAATGAAAGAAGAAAAAATAAAAACAATATTTTGGATACTTGTAGCCATTTAAAGTTGGAATGAAGTCCAAATTGTAGAAAATAATAAAAATTGAAAAACATTAGGAAAGACTAGAATCTAACAACAGATATACTATAATTTTTGAAACTTTTTTTGTCTCTCCAGTTTTTTATTTTTACTGAAGACAAGTCATAGTAGGACTGATTTGCTATATTATACTTGGCCAAATTATTTATATAAATTGCAGCAAGAATAATTATTATTCACATGGGCTTTTTAAATTGGCTTTGATGGAACTTTGTTCCATAGAAGGAATCTCAGATAAGACTTTTTAAAGTTAAGCCCAGCCATGGATTTGTACCATCAAATATCTATGAGTTGGGTAAATTCCTCTTCTCTTGGGGTCCCAAGAAAACTTGGGGCTCCTGGGCCTGTCAGAAAGTGATATTTTTTACTAACCACATATCAGGAACCCTGTACAAGAACTGTGTAGACAAGGTGTGAGGCCAGTTTTCCCAATGGGCTTTTATTGGCTCTAAAAATCAAATTTGATTCCTTAAAGGAAAGCACACCATTCCAGTCAAAACCTTAGTAAAATAACGAGTTCTTCCAATTGTGTCCTGTTACAAATAAAAACAGATTCTTATTGCACTTATGCAAATAACTATATTGCCATAAGTTAAGAATACTCAGATAGTTTCCAAATTCTGGAGAAATCAGGTAGAGAGAAATATGCTCCAAATTTTGTTCACAGGAGTATACTTTACTTAATTGTTAAAAACTGTCAACAACTCAAAAGTTTTCTTGACTCTGGAAAACAAAACGAAGGATGAGCAACATTTTAAGACAAAAGTCAAAAAGATTACTTCAGTCTTCTATTAGTTCAATCCATGAAGTTAATTCCTGTTCTGCTTGATATTCATAAACATTTCAACTCTCCATGAGTCCTGAAAGTTTCTCCTCTATTCTGATGTCACAATCTCCAAAATTATCAGAAACCGCATTCAAGAACACCTGTTAGAGTTTTATAGCTAATTATAAAACCAACTTCTAAAGAGGACCAAAACAAGACAACAACTGTCTGTGGATAACAAAAGGTTTTAGGGCAGCCATAGTCAAAGACACAACTTGCAAGAAAATTTGTTACCTCTGTGGCACACAATAATTTAATGTAACGATTATAATTATTACTGATATCATACACTAAGTTATATTAGAATTATAAGAGTTTCCCATAATTGTGGAACACATAGCAATAACTGGCACATAGCAAATAGCCCAAAGGAAACAAAACACCATTTCATATTTGACAATGCTTCCTGTATGATTTTTAAACCAAATAAGCCAAATATGTCATTTTTGGATTAATTAGGTCAGAAAATACATAATTTATAATTTGATTTTGGAAAGTTTGTCAAATATCAAAGGTTTGAAACACTTGATATCACAAAATAGGATCACAGGTCATTGTAAAATAAGTCATTTATTTAACCAAAGAGATAACTCAAAGATCTCAATGAAAAGGCAAAAAACTTCATTCTTTAAAGAGCAGACATACTTTTCCAAATAATAAGCCCTATTAAAAACAGCATGAAGCAAATTAAATTTGTTTTTCAAAATTTTATAAATAATCTATAAAATTTTAATCTTGACTCTAAGGTATAACTCTCATAAGCCTTTTATAACCTTTATAATCTTTATTAAGGAGTCAGTTAATACTTCAATAAAACCTTCTTAATCTGACACTGGGGATCAAATACTGATCTTGCATCAGTGTGCCTTTGACATTAATAGTTCATTTATAGAAAAACTGAACTTACTGTATTCCTATAGATCAGCCCTTACAGTCGCACATGCCGACCTCTTCCACAATAGTCTCTTGGTCTCGAGGTGTTGAATAGCTTTAATTTCTGGCCCTGTGTCTCGGTTTATTTTGATTGGCATCTTCTACTAGGCCTGAAGATGAGGCTTTAATTGCCGTCAGTGTTTAAGATTTAGCAGTAATTAATGTCCTTTTGAGACCCATGAGTCAAATCCCTGTAACTCACTGTCACAAGGATTTAAAAGCACATACAGAAAGATATACTGATGTAATAACCTTAATTAATTTTTGTTTAATCTCAGTTATTTTCTAAGCAAACAAAAACATAATAATAATGGCATAGGAATTATTTTAATAAAACATGAAATATTTTAGGCCAGTTACCAAAACGCAAAAGAAAAGACCTTCTGCAGTGCACAGAGTATGATGTTGCACCTTCAGATCTTTAAAAAAAACATTGTTAGCATCAGGCAACAAAAAACAGAACCTGAGGCAAAAAAAAAAAAACAAAAAAACCTTATATGAACTGAAAAGGAGTTGAAGGAGAGTGTTAGTATTTTACGCCTTTAAAACAGGAGAGAAAACTAAAAACAGTGAGATGCAATGAAACTTGAACTTTACGTTAAAAAAATTAAAATCTCTTATAATTCATTAAGAGTAAATAAATCCCTTAAGAAAATTTTATTGTTCTAACAAATTCTTCAGTATATAAGTGCTTTTTTACATCAAACTCAATCTCTGGAAAGACCATTATAATTTCCCTTTAATTATAGACAAACTTGATCATATAAATGATGGAGATGGAGATTCACTCTTGTCGCCCAGGCTAGAGTGCAATGGCATGATTTCTGCTCACTGCAACCTTCACCTCCTGGGTTCAAGTGATTCTCCTGCCTCAGCCTCCTGAGTAGCTGGGATTACAGGTGCACAACACCACACCCGGCTATTTTTTTATTTTTTATTTTTTAGTATAGATGGGGTTTTGCCATGTTGGCCAGGCTGGTCTCAAACTCCTGACCTCAGGTGATCCACCCAGCTCAGCCTCCCAAAGTGATCAGATTACAGGCGTGAGCCACCATGCCTGGCCCCATACAAGATTCTGTCTAATATAAAATTATTTTTCTTTAAGTTTTTTTACCAAAACATACCTCTTTATTTTTATAACTTTATTTATATCTCCCTTATTTCCTGGTTCCTTTTACATTGTTTTATACATAACCTTTAAATAAGCTTTGAATTACACAAAAATAATTCACCTATTTAAAAAGGACACATTTTGTTTTAGAAAAAAGTTTTCCTATAATATATACTTTATCAGAAAATACCCCAAAAATAAAATATCTTTTATTTTATTTAAATTACTTTAGATTCTAAATTATGAGAAGTTTGTCTACAAGTATTTATCCCATTACATTTACCTAATTATTTCATTTTAATCATTTACCTAGATTATTTATGAAAACTGTGATAGTCATAATTTAAAATTATAAAAGCACCATTGCAAAATTATAACTCAGACAGTAAAAAAGATCTGACCTAACTCACTCCATGTTGTCTCTAACCTCCAAGCTGTCTTTATTCACTCCTGGGCATAGGCTGAATCAACTTTGGGAGGAACTTAGTTTATAGTTTAGCTTTGAAACAAAGACAATGACAGTCCTTTCTCAAAACAAACCTCCTTTCTGCCTGTGGACTAGACTGCCTAAAGCCAAAAGTTATAGTAATTTATTAAATAATTCAAGATGTAGTTATTTCCATTAAACCAATATCAATGTCTTATTAAAAATTACACAAGCAAAGATCATTCTGTTGGGGGCTGGGATTATAGTTTTGTAACCTTTATGCCCAGTTTTGACACCTCATAGTACTTGGAAAGGATAAGAATAAAATTGCTTGATCAATAAATGCAAACAAAAATATATGCTGGCAATTTTTAAGACATTTCTAATATTACTTTACCAATAATTTTAAAGACAGCTCATTTATTAAAGATTTTACTTAAGTTACATAAACTTGAAAAAGCATTTGACTAGTCTTTCCATTTTACTGATAAAGCATTTAAGAGCTTTTATTTTTTCTTAAGCAAATAAATTAGAGCTCTTTTATATATTTTGGTTAGCGAAACATTCTGTACACAACACTTAAATACATAGACATATTAGGCATGCCGATAGAAGTACATCTTATAGGTTCATAAGGCCTCCTTTTATTTTATTTTATTTTATTTTATTTTATTTTATTTTATTTATTTTATTTTGTTTTATTTTTTTGAGATAGAGTCTTGCTCTGTCACCCAGGCTGGATTGCAATGGTGTGATCTAGGCTCACTGCAACCTCTGCCTCCCAGGTTCAAGCAATTCTCTTGCCTCAGCCTCCCAAGTAGGCTGGGATTACAGGCATTTGCCACCAAGCCCAGCTAATGTTTTTTTTAATTTTAGTTGAGACGGGGTTTTGCCATGTTGGCCAGGCTGGTCTCAAACTCCTGACCTCAGGTGATCCACCTACCTTGGCCTCCCAAAGTGCCAGGATTACAGGCATGCACCACTGCGTCCAGCCTTTTGTTTTTTTCTCTCTTAGACTTGTAAACTCTTGGTAACCTGTTTCATTACCCTAGCAGTTGTTAGCTAAATAGCCTTAAATCTTCATATTGAAGGAAACAAACCTTAGGTGAAAAATCAGATAGCAAAAGTTGCATCTCAAGGTACAGAGAAAAAAAGTCTGGTAGTGCTGGAGAGATTAATGGTGGATATCAAATCAAATATACAATTATAGAAATCTATCACAGGATTATATAACGAGCCCAATTTTATTTAGATAGGGACTACCTATCTTTCCACTGAATATCTGAGCTCTGGGAAGAGCCCACACTGAAACCATCGGTCTTCAAAAAGGAAGAATTATATGAGCCTTGACCACGCGTGCTAGCAAAAAGGTGGACTTCTTCTTATATAAGCAAAACCCTTTAAGTAGTCCAAATAAAAAATCTTTCTTATTTTTTCTTTTGCTAGCTGCTTTTCTCCCCCTACCACACCACTTTTGTGTGTGGGGAGAAGGTGGAATTTAGCCACTTCAGAGGCCTTCTTCCCCATAATTTGGACCTTTCCTTTGGATTTGATTAAATCAGATAGAGTTGGTCAAAACTAATGGAAAAAAAGACTGAAACAACAAAAAAACAGAAACAAACAATCAAAGCAGTTAAGCAAAACAAACAAACAATCACACAACTTATATGATTACTGAGTGTTGTAACAGTAAGGTGAAATTAAGACAGGTTGTTAATCTTAACTTTAGCCAAGAAAAATCCCAATTCAGTCACTTACCTAGGGATGAGTCTCAGGCTGATGACTGCTCCCTACCATCCTAGAAGAAGGAAAAAACACACTCTTCTTTATTGGAAGTGAGCTCAAATTCCATAAAGGAGTTACCTGCCTTCCATTATCATGGAAGCAGGAAAACTTGCCTTCCTTGTATTGAAAGCAAGAAATATTGCAAAGACAGGAGTTGTACAGCAAAATAAACTTTAGATCTCGACCAAATTTGGGGAGATCATGGATTCTCTGAAGGCGAAACCTTCAGGCCTTAGCAAATTGTCCTGTTGATTTGAGCCATAAAGATAGGTCAACCTCACACCAAGCACCAATAGGAGATTTGTGAAAGGTCAGGGGTATCTCCATTCAGAACCCCTTTGTGGTTACCAAAATGTGAACCCCAAATATCTGAGACCCATCTCAGCCAATCATCCTAGGCTAAGTTTAGTACAATGTCTGTCATAAAGTAGATGCCCAAAATGCTTTTTTTTAAATTGACATATGATTCTCATATTATATAATTTGTGCATTTGAACTGTAAAATTCAGTGGTTTTTAGTATATTCACAATATATAATCACGTTATGTAATTCACATTATATAATCATAACCATTATCTAATTTGAGAACATTTTTTATTATTTCCAAAAAAACCCCATACCATTAGCAGAACCCTTCATTCTTTCCTACCCCCATTCTCTGGCAAACACCAATCTACATTCTGCTTCTACAGAGTTGTCTATTTTGAACATTTCACAAAAATAAAACCAAATAATGTGTGGCCTTTTGTGTTTGCCTATGTTCACTTAGTGTGTTTCTATGGTTCATCTTTCTTGTACCATGTATTAGTACTTCATATCCACTTGCTGCAGCACCATTTATTGAAAGACTGTTCTTTCTTCCATTGAACTGTTTGAGCATCCTTGTTTCAAATTGATTACAAATATATGAATTAAATTTTGGGCTTTCAGTTCTATTGCATTCATCTGTATGTCTATTCTTATGCCAGTACCACACTATCTTCATTACTATAGCTTTGTATTAAGTTCTGAAACTAGAAAGTGTGAATGCTACAATTTTATTCTTACTTTTCAAGATTGCTTTGGCTATTCTGTCTTTCTTTCATTTTTATATAAATTTTAGAATCAGATTTCAGTTTATGAATAAAAGTCAGCTGGGGATTTAATAGGTCTTGTGTTGAATTTGCAGATGAATTTGAGGGAAGATTGCTATCTTAACAATATTAAGTCTTTCAATACATGAACATGGGTTGCTCTTCCATTTTTGTAGGTCTTATCTAATTTATTTCAACAAAATCTGTACTATTCAGTGTTCCTGTCTTGCACTTCTTTTGTTAAATTTATGATTAAGTATGTTGTTCTTTTTGAAGACTTTTTAAATTTTTATTTTAGGTTTGGGGTACGTGTGAGGATTTCTTACATAGGTAAACTCATGTCACAAAGGTTTGTTGCATAGATTTTTTCACACAGATATTAAGCCTAGTACAGAATAGTTATCTTTTCTGCTCCTCTGTTTTCTCTCACACTTCACCCTTAAGTAGTCCCAAGTGTCTGTTGTTCCCTTCTTTGTGCTCATGAGTTCTCATTATTTAGCTCCCACTTATAAGTTAAAACATGTGGTATTTGGATTTCTTTTCCTGCATTAGTTTGTTAAGGATAGTAGCCTTCAGCTCCATTCATGTTGCTACAAAAGACACAACCTCATTCTTTTTTATGACTGCAAAGTATTCCCTGGTGATTAAGTACCACATTTCCCTCATTTTATCTGTCATATATGGGCATTTAGGTTGATTCATGTCTTTGCAATTGTGAATAGTGCTGTAATGAACATTCACATGCATATCTCTTTTTGGTAGAATGATTTATATTCCTCTGGGTATATACCTCGGGATTGCTGGGGCAGATGTTAGTTCTGTCTTTAGGTCTTTGAGAAATCACCATACTGTTTTCCACAATGGTTGAACTAATTTATACACTCACCAAGAGTATATGAGTGTTCCCTCATCTCTATAATCTAACCAGCATCTGTTTTCTTTTGTTTGTTTGTTTGTTTTTACTTTTGGTAATAGCCATTCTGACTGGTGTGAGATTGTATCTCATTGTGGTTTTGATTTGCAATTCTCTAATAATCAGTGATATTAAGCTTTTTTCATATGCTTGTTGCCTGCATGTATGTCTTCTTTTGAAAAGTGTCTGTTCATGTCCTTTGCCCACTTTGATGGGGTTCTTTATTTTTCTCTTGTAAATTTAAGTAGCTTACAGATGCTAGATACTAGACTTTTATTCAGATGCATAGTTTGCAAATATTTCCTCCCAATATGTAGATTGTCTGTTTAGTCTGTTCATAGTTTCTTTTGCTGTGCAGAAGCTTTTAAGTTTACTTAGATCTCATTTGTCATTTTTTGGTTTTAGTTGTGATTGCTTATGCCGTCTTTGTCAAGAAATATTTGCCCATTCCTATATAAAGGATGGTAGTTCCTAAGTTGTCTCCCAGGGATTTTATAGTTTTGTGTTTTACATTTAAGTCTTTAATCCATGTTGAGTTGATTTTTTTATATCGTGTAAGAAAGGAGTCCAGCTTTAATCTTCTGCATATGGCTAGCCAGTTGTTTTACCACCATTTATTGAATAGGAACG
The DNA here is from genome assembly GCF_000001405.40 of Homo sapiens. Taxonomy (NCBI): domain Eukaryota; kingdom Metazoa; phylum Chordata; class Mammalia; order Primates; family Hominidae; genus Homo; species Homo sapiens. The sequence goes on from NC_000023.11 coordinate 84,023,902, forward strand.
CTTTTCCCCATTGCTTTTTTTTTTTTTTTTTTTTGGTCAAATTTGTCACATTATTTTTGGGCTCTCTGCTGTGTTCCATAGGTCTATGTGCCTGTTTTTCTACCAGTACCATGCTGTTTTGGTTACTAAAGCACTGTAGTATAGTTTGAAGTTGGGTAACATAATGGCTTCAGCTTTGATGTTTTTGCTTAGGATTGCCTTGGCTATTCAGGTTCTTTTTTTGGTTGCATAAGAATTTTGAAATAGTTGTTTTCTAGTCCTGTGAATAATGTTGTTGGTAGTTTGATAGGAATAGCATAAAATCTGTAAATTGCTTTAGGCAGTATGACTATTTTAATAATATTGATTCTTTTTTATCTATGAGCATAATTTTTTTATTTCTTTGTGCCTTCTCTAATTTCTTTAAGCAGTGTTTTGTAATTCTCATTGTAGAGATTGTTTACCTCCCTGGTTAGCTGTATTCCTAGGTATTTTATTCCTCTGTGGAAATTGTGAATGGAATTGTCTTCCTGATTTGGCTCTTGGCTTGGCTGTTGTTGATGTATAAGAATGCTAGTAATTTTTCTACATTGGTTTTGTATCTTTGCATCCTGAAACTGCTGAAGTTGTTTATCAGCTGAAGAATCTTTTGAGCCAAGATTATGAGGTTTTCTAGATATAGAATCATGTTGTCTGCAAACAGGGATAGTTTGACTTCCTCTTTTTCTATTTGGATGCGCTTTTTTTTCTTTCTCTTTCCTGATTGCTCTGGCCAGGAATTCCAATATGATACTGAAAAGAAGTGGTGAGAGAGGGCATCATTATCTTCTCCCAGTTTTCAAATGGAATCCTTCTAGCATCTGCACCTTCAGTATGTTGGCTATGGGTTTGTCATAGATGGCCCTTATTTTTCAAGGTATGTTTCTTCAATACATAGTTTATTAAGAGTTTTTAACATAAAATGGTGTTAGATTTTATCAAAAGCTTTTTCTGCATTTATTGAGATAATCATTTGGTTTTGTCTTTAGTTCTATGTGATAAATCACATTATTATAATCGATTTATGTATGCTGAATCTACCTTTTATCCCAGTGATGAAGTCTTCTTGGTCACGGTGGATTAGATTTTTGATGTACTGCTGAATTTTGTTTGCAAGCTTTTTGTTGAGGACTTTTTATTAATGATTCAATTTTGGAGATTGTTATTGGTTATTGGTCTGTTTGGGAAATCAATTTCTTTATGGTTCAGTCTTGGGATGGTGTATGTGTCCAGGAATTTTTCCATCTCTTCTAGGTTTTCCAGTTTGTGTGCATAGAGGTGTTCATAGTAGTTTCTGGTGGTTATTTTTATTTCTGTAGGGTCAGTGGTAACATTCCTTCCTAATTTCTAATTGTGTTTATTTGGATCTTCTCTCTTTTCTTCTTCATTACTCTAGCTAGCAGCCTATCTTATTAATTTTTTCAAAAAACCAACTCCTGGATTCACTGATCTTTTGAATCATTTGTATGTGTGTGTGTGTGTCTTGAATTCCTTAAATCCAGCTCTGATTTGGTTGTCTCTTGTTTTCTGCTAGGTTTAGTAGCTATGCATTTCACTCCTTAACACTGTCTTAGCTGTGTCCCAGAAACTCTCATTTGTTATACCTTTGTTCTCAATAGTTTCAAAGAACTTCTTGATTTTTGCCTTAATTTCTTTATTTTCCTGAAAGTTATTCAAGAGCAGATTGTTTAATTTTCATGTAATTGCATGGTTTTGAGTGATTTTCTTAGTATTAATGTCTATTTTTATTTTGCTGTTGTCTGAGAGTGTGTTTGGTATGATTTTGATCATTTTGCATTTGCTGAGTATTGTTGTATGTCTAATTATGTAGACAATTTTTTAGAGTATGTGTCATGTGGTGATGAGAAGAATGTACATTTTGTTGTTTTGGGATGGAGAGTTCCATAGAGGTGTATCAGATCCATTTGTCCAGTGTTGAGTTGAGGTCCTGAATATCTTTGTTAATTTTCTGCCACAGTGACTTATCTAATGCTGTCAGTGGATTGTTTAAGTCTCCCACTATTATTTTGTGGAAGTCTGTGTCTCTGTGTAAGTCTCTAAGAACTTGCATTATAAATCTGGGTACTCTTGTGTTGGTTATATATAAATTTAGGAGTTACATTTTCTTGTTGAATTGAACCCTTTACCGTTTCTTGTTGAATTATGAAATACCCTTCTTTGTCTTTTTTTTAATTTTGTTCATTTAAAGTCTGTTTTGTCTGCCATTAGGATTGCAACCACAGCTTTTTCCTGTTTTCCATTTGCTTGATAGACGTTCTTCATTCCCTTAATTTTGAGCATATGGGCGTCATTGTGTGGGAGATGGGTCTCCTGAAGATAACATACCATTGGTTCTTGCTTTTTTATCCAGCTTACCACTCTGTGTCTTTTAAGTGGGGGCATTTAGCCCATTTACATTCAACGTTATTATTTATATGTGTGGATTTGATCCTGTCATTGTGTTGTTAGCTTGTTATTGGGCAGGCTTGTTTGTGTGGTTGTTTTATAGTGTCACTGGTCTGTGTATTTAAGTGTGTTTTTGTATTAGCTGGTAGTGGTCTTTCCATATTTAGTACTTCTTTCAAGATCTCTTGTAAGGCAGGTCTGATGGTAACAAAGTTTCTCAGCATTTAGTTATCTGAAAAGAATCTTATTTCTCCTTCACTGAGAAAGCTTAGTGTGGCTGGATATAAAATTCTTGGTTGAAGATTTTTTTTCTTTAAGAATGTTGAATATAGGCCCTCAATCTCTTCTGGCTCGTATGATTTCAGTTGATGCTATTGCAAATAAAATTGTTTTTAAGAATTTTTTGGAGTGTTCATATATAGAAATAAAATTAACTTTTGTATCTTGATCTATTGAGGAACGTTGGTAAACTCACTTGTTAGCACTAAGAGTTTCTTAGTTGATCTTATAATCTTTTCTATATACAAGCTCACGTGATCTGCAAATAGAGGTAGATTTTCTTCTTCATTACCAATCTTAAATTATTTGTATTTCATTTTACTTTATAATTGGTCTAGCCAGAATCTCCAGTACAATGTTTAATAAACATGATGAGAGTGTACATCCTGTCTTGTTCTGGAAATTATTTTGAAAGCATTCAGACTTTCATTGTTAAATATAATGTTAGGTATGGGTTTTTTGTACATGCTATTAATATCAGATTGATAAAGTTTTTTTCTATTCCTAGTGTGTTGAGATTTATGTTTTGGCTTTTTTTTTTTTTACCATTAAAGCATGTTGGATTATGCCAAATGCTTTTTCTGTGTCTATTGAGATGATCATAATATGTTATGTAACATTAATTGATTTGCATATGTTGAACCAACCTTGCAATCCAGGAACAAATACCACATGGTAATAGTGTACAATCTTTTATATGTATGTTTTTGGATTTGTTTGCTATAGTTTTGTTTATGATTTTTATGTAGGTATACATAAGGAATATTGGTTTGTAGCTTTTTTTTCCTTATCTGACTCTAGCATCTGGATAATACTAAATGAGTCAAGTAGTGCTCTTTTCTCTTCTATTATTTGGAAGAGTTTGTAAAGAATTTATATGAAGTATCATTAAAATGTGTGGTAGAATTCACCAGTGAAGTCATTCAGGCCTACAGATTCTGTGGGGGAGGGGGAAATTTTTTAAATTACTAATTTAATCTCTATATTTTTTATTGTTCTATTCAGAATTTTTCCTCTTGAGCCAGTTTTAGTGGTTTATGTATTTCAAGGAATTTGTTCATTCTATCCAAATTATCTAATTTTTCATCAGGCAAAAATATTCTCTTATAATTATTTTATTTCAGTAAGATCAGAGGTAAGAGCCCCTCTTTCACTCCTGATATTAATAATTTAAGCTTTCTTTCTCTTGGTCAATCTAGCTAAAAGTTTTCTCATCTTAAAGTCTTTTCCAACAATTAAGTTTTGGGTTAATTGGTTTTTCTCCTTTTTTTGAGACAAAATCTTACTCTGTTGCTCAGGCTGAAGTGCAGTGGTGTGATAAGAAGTCACTGCAGCCTTAAACTGCTGGGCTCAAGTGATCCTCCTGCCTCAGCCACCTAAGTAGCTGAAACTATACATATAGACCACCACACTTGGCTAATTTCTTTTTAATTTGGTAGAGATGGGGTCTCACTATGTTGTACAGGCCAGTTTCAAACTCCTAGACCCAAGCCATTCTCCTGCGTTGGCATCCCCAAACACTGGAATTACAGCATGAGACATAGCACCTGACCTTTTCTAAATTCTCTATGTCATTTAAGTCGCTCTCATTTATTATTTCCTTCTTTCTGTTTGCTTTGGGATTTGTAGTTTGCTTTTTTTTTTTGTCCCATGTCATACAAATAGAGGACTAGGTTACTGATTTGAGGTCTTTCTTCTTTTTTATGTAGATGTTTTGAAGCTATACATTTCTTTTTAAGCATTGTTTTCACTGTATCCCCTAAGTTTTGTATGTACTGTTTTTACTTTGAGTTCAAAGTATATTTTAATTTCCATTGTGGTTTATTTTTTGACTCATTGATTATCTAGGTGCACATTTACACATACTTGTAAATTCTCCAACTTTCCTTCTAATTTATTCTACTGTGGTCCAAAAATATACTTTGTATGGCTTCTATACTTATAACTTTATTTATTTATTCTTTCATTCATTCATTTTAATATTTTCACAATGGTAACATTTAACATGAAATATACCCTCTAAACACATTTTAAAGTGCACAATACAGAGGTTGGCAGAGCAAGATGATGGAATAGAAGGTTCTGCTGATCATCCCTTCACCAAGCACATTAATTTAACATCTACATAAAGACGCATCTTCATAATAACTGAAAATCAGATGGGCACTCACAGTACCTGATTTTAATTTTATAACACTGAAAGAGGCACTGAAGAGGTAGGAAAAACAGTCCTGTATCACTGACACCACCCCAACCCTGCCCACTGCAGTGGCAGTGGCAGTGAGGTGTGGAGAGTGTTTCCGTGCACTGGGAAGAGGAAAAATTTAGAAATTGAGGAATTAAACTCAATGCTGCCCTGTTATACCATAAAGAACCACCAGACCAAACTCAGCTGATGCTTGCTCACAGAGGGAGCATTTAAACCAGCCCTAGCCAGAGAGGACACATGGATCCCAGTGGTTAGAACTTGAGTTCGCAAAAGCCTCACCACCACTGGCTAAAGGGCCTTGGGGTACTAAATAAACATGAAAGGCAGTCTAATCCACAAAGATTGCAATTTCTAGGTGAGTCCTAGTGCTGAACCAGGCCCAAAGGGATTAGACTGGGGGGTGGAGATGACCTACTGAGGCACCAGTTGAGGCAGTTAAAGGAGTGCTGGCATTACCATTCTTTGAAACACAGGCTGCAGACCTTATAGTTCAAAAAGACACTCCTTACCGCTGCTTGAGGAGAGGAGAGGAAATAGTGGGGAAGAGTTTCTCTTGCTTCGAAAGGGCCAGTATAAGAATTATTGACCCTAAAGGGAACATAGAGGAGACATCAGGGTAGACAATTTGTTTAAAATAAGTATAGAGAACTTCCAAACCCTACAGAAAGACATCAATATTGAATTACAAAAAGGTTATAGAACACCAAGAAAATTTATCCCAAAGACTACTTCAAAGGCATTTAATAATCAAACTTCTAAAGGGAAAGGACAAAAGTATTCTAATAGCAGCAAGATAAAAACAAAACACATAACTTACAGTGGGGTTCCAATACATCTGGCAGGAAACTCTTCAGTGGAAACCTTACATGTCAGGATATGGAGAGGCAAAAATTTTACCCTAGAATAGTACATCTGGCAAAAATATCCCTCATACATGAAGGAGAAATAAAGACTTTCTCAAACAAACAAAAGCTGAAGAATTACATCAACACCAAACTGTTCCTACAATAAATGGTAAAGGGAATACTTCAGTCAGAAAAAAAAAACAATAATATGCAATAAGTTTACATAATTAATCAGTTATAAGTAAAAACTACAACAATTTTTGAACATATACACAGTACAATAAGATTACAATAGAGACCACAAAAAGTTAAAAAGTGTGTGGACAAACTTAAGGTGTAAAGTTTTTCTTAGTTTTCTCTTTGCATGTTCGCTTGTTTGTTTATGCAAACAGTGTTATGTTGTTATCTGCCCAAAATAGTGGGTTATAAAATAATATTTGCAATTCTCATGGTAACCTCAAACCAAAAATACACAGAATAAATACATGGAGAATAAAAATCAAGAAACTAAATTTTATGAAAAGAGTAAATGACCATCACTAGAAGGAAGACAGTAAGGAAAGAAAAAAAAAGAAAACCGCAAAACAATCAGAAAACAAATAACAAAATTAAAAGAGTAAGTTCTTACTTATCAATAATAGCATTAAATTTAAATGGACTAAACTCTCCAATAAAAATGCATAGGGTGGTTGAATGGATAAAGAAAGAGACCAAATGATCTGTTGCCCACAAGAAACACACTTCACCTATAAAGACACACATAGACTGACAATAAAAGGATGGAAAAATATTTTTCCTGCTAATGGAAATCAAAAACAGAACAGGAGTAGCTATGCTTATATCAGACAAAATAGATTTCAAGACAAAAACTGTAAAAGGCAAAAGTAACCATACAATGATAAAGAGGTCAATTCCGCCAAGAGGATATAAAAATTTTTAATATCTATTCTCTAACATTGGATCATCTATATATATAAGGCAAATATTGGTAGAACTAAAGAGAGAGAAGGACTCCAATGTGATAATAGCTGGAGACCTTGGCATCCCACTTTTAGAGTTGGACAGAACTCCCAGACAGAAACTCAACAAAAAAATTTGCCTTAATCTATATTATGGAACAAATGAACTCAATAGATATTTACAGAACATTATATTCAAAAGCTGAATAATACACATTTTTTTCCTCAGCACATGGATCATTCTGAAGGATAGACCATATGTTAGGTAACAAAGTAAGTCTTAAAACACTCAAAAAAAATGAAATAATATCAAGCATCTTCTCTGACCACAATGGAATAAAAATAGAAATTACAGAAGAACAATACTTTTGGAAACTATGCAAATACATGGAAATTAAACAATATGCTTCTGAATGACCAGTGTGTCAATGAAGAAATTAAGAAGGAAAGTGAAAAATTTCTTGAAATAAATGAGAAAGAAAACCCAACATCCCAAGACCTATGTGATACAGCAAAAGGAGTACTAAGAGATACATTAATAGCTATAGAGCCTACATCAAAAAAGAAAAGCTTCACAGAAACAACCTAACAATGCATCTTAAAGAACTAGAAAAGCAAGTGAAAGCAAATGCAAAATTGGTAGAAACAAAGAATAAATATCAGAGCAGAAATTAATGAAATTAAAATGATGAAAGTAATACAAAATATTAATGAAATAAAAAGTTGGTTTTATGAAAAGTTAAACAACATTGACAAACCTTTAGCCAGACCAAGAATAATGGAGAGAAGATCCAAATAAATAAAATCAGAGATGAAAAACAAGACATTTCAACTGATACTGAAAAAATTTAATAGATCATTTGTGGCTAATGTGAACAACAATATTCCAATAATTCCAATAGAAGAAATGTACAAACTCCTAGACACATAAAGCCTACTAAGATTAAACCATGAAGAAATCCAAAACCTGAACAGACAAGTAACAAGTGGTGAGGTCAAAGCTGCAATAAAATACCTTCAGGTAAAGAAAAGCCTTGAACCCAATGGATTCACTGCTGAATTCTACCAAACATTTAAAGAAGAACTAATATAAACACTACTCAAAGTATTCCAAAAAATGGCAGAAGAGGGAATACATCCAAACTCATTGTACAACCAAGTATTACGTGATACCAAAATCAAAGACACATTAAAAAAAAAACAGAAAACTACAGGCCAGTATCTCTGAATAATATTGTTGCAAAAATTTGCAACAAAATACTTGCAAGCTGAATTCAACGATACATTAAACAATGATTTTCAGGTCCCAGTGGGATTAGTCACTGGGATGCATGGATTGTTCAACATATACAAATCAATTAATGTGATACATCATATTAACAGAAAGAAGGACAAAAGCCATATGAATATTTCAATTGATGCTGGAAAAGCAATTGATAAAATTCAACTTTCTTCATGATAAAAGCAATAAAAAACACTGGGTGTAGAAAAAACATATCTCAACATAATAAAAGCCATATACTACAGACTCACAGCTAGTATTATACTGAATGGGGAAAATCTGAAAGGCTTTTTTCTAAGATCTGAGATCTAACATAACAAGAAGGCCCACTTTCATCATTGTAATTCAACATAGTATTGAAAGTCCTAGTTAGATCAATGAGACAAGAGTAAGAAATAAAGGACATACAAATTGGAAAGGAATAAGTCAAATTATCCTTGTTTGCAGCTGGTATGATGGTACTTTATTTTTAAATATGACACTTTATTTTTAAATATTTTTTATTTGTATAATTTTTAATGTTCAATTGTTGTGGGTACATAGTAGGTATATGTATTTATGGGGTACAAGAGATGTTTTGATACAGGCATGCAATGTAGAATAATCGCATAATGAAAAATGGAGTATCCATCCTCTCAAGCATTTATCTGTTGTGTTAAAAACAATCCAACTATATTATTTTAGTTAGTTTAAAATGTGCAGTTAAATTATTATTGACTATAGTCACCCTGTTGTGCTAGTAAATACTATGTCTTATTTATTCTTTCTATTTTTTTATACCCATTAACCATCCTCACCATCACCCCCCTACCCCTGCCCCACTGCCCTTCCCAGCCACTGGTAACCATCCTTCTACTATGTCCATGAGTTCAATTGTTTTGATTTTTAGATTCCATGGTATCTCACATTTTTATATAAAAAGCATTTGCTAATGGTCAGCAGTATTGTTACCCATTTCAAGTTATAGGTCTATAGTTTTTTCTGAAGGTTTCTAACCATTCAGGCCTCCTATTTACAAGTTTTTCAATACAATTTATTTTACATTTTCTGTCTTGCATCATCTTCTATTTCCTGTGTTAATATAATCTTTTAAAAAATTTTGTCTAAATGAAGCTGTAATAGGGCTTTTACTTCTGACACATTCAAGAAAGTACAAATTGGTCATGTAAGCCAATATTTAATGACAAAATTTGGATATGTTTTACTTATGTGTCATCTATCTTTCAATGTGAAATCTTCTAAGGAATACCCTATAAATTAATAACTAATGTGTCTTTTCTGGCCTGGCGGCAATCCAGTGGCTTTAAGGCCTTAACCAAGGAATATCTGAGAAGAAACTCACAAACTATGAACAAACATATTTACATAATACTGCCAGGGTAATGGCTACAGGGAAGGTAAGTACTGTTTTCATTTGTATACCTGGACTTGAAATTACAAGAATGCAGTTACCTGCTAGATATCCTTACTTCATTAAGGCTCCAAAAGCTTGAACTTTGCAAATATCTTGGGGAAAGGAGAAGCAGGAGCAAAATACCTGGAGAAGAACAATTTAGTATACAGAGTATTAAAGTTTGCGGAAGGCATATGGGTCATCAGGGTCAGGTAAACATTTTTTGCTACATTTTATGATACTGGAAGCCTTAGATAATGATTTTCGGATAGCTTTATTTGCACAAAATGACTATGTAAGTGGTGTGATGGAATGACAGAGGGAGAAGGAAAGACCACTCCTTAATGAAAAAAAAATTCCTTCACTGGCCAAACCAGGTGCTTGAAATGCAAATGGTTATTAAGATTGAACTAGAAGTGAGTGCTGGAGAGAAACAAATTGCAGTGGTGCATTTATCAGGTTAATCTGTTGTTTAATAAGACTAGAACCTGAAACTCATGGTTTAGTTAGAGGAATAGAGATAAGTCTAAGCCTAATTTGAGGAATTATGTAAATAGAATGGAGTTTCTAGGAAGATGGTCCTACTAGCTGAGGGCACTGGGTTTAAAGGGGTGGGGACCTCTCAAGGTGAGGCACAGGTTAGAAAGAACATTGAAAACAAAGGTGTTTCACAATTTTACAAAGGGTTGGCCCTTATGATCTTTTCCAGAACTTGTGACTCTGAAAAATAATTCACAGTTCACTTGTCTAGTAAAACCACCGTAATGAGTATCATAAAAATCTCAAGTCAGAATCTTGAGTTAATCCAATATCTTTTCACATTGTGAAGAAACTTTGAAGCATTCACATCACACCTCCAAGATATCCAACTTGTGATTTTCACTCTCTATCCACTATATCCTATCCCTCTTTCTTAACCACCCCCACTCCCACTCCACCCTCACATTTACATCCCGTGCCTTGCACATTCCTTATTTTCCCACTAGATTATTCTGCTTCTGGCCTTGTTTTTTCCTCCTATTCAGTCTATATATCAAGGTTGACTATTTCAACAATGTACTCAACACCTCTCTAGATTCCCTTTTTTACCCTGGGCCAATCCAAGTAACCTCATTTCTCACTTTGGTCCCCTAGGTTATGGAGCACCCTAGAAGTCCCAAGCAAGGCTCAAAATGTCTTTTAGAAAAAAACAAACAATCAAACCAACTCCCTTCTGCATGAGAGAATAGCCCAAGGCAAGGTTTTGGGGACAGAGCCCTGAAGGAGTCAAGAGAAAAATATTAAAAGTAAAGGATTGTGAAAAGAGAGGGTGAGGGGGCTCCAAGGATGCCAAACATTCTGCTGTTTAGGATTGGGGAGCTAAAGAATATATGTTGGAAATAATTGGCAGAACCCACTTCTCTGGTATGGAGAGCTTCCATGCACATGGTTGCACTTTTTCTCCCAAACCTTACCCTAGCCTAAGTTTCAGGGCCAGGGAATGCTAAAACAAGGAGGAAGAGGTAAGTGGGATTTCATTCTTCTTAAATTACCATCGAAATTATTTATTTCCCAAATATAAGTAAGCTAAGGGGAATTGTTTCTAAAATACAACCTTTCTCCAAAAGCAATAACACACCCAGGAGATGTAGTAAAGGGCACTAACTACTGAAGGGGAAACTCTGCTTACTGGTTTATTCCTTAGAAAAAAGAAATACAGATAATTTTCATTTCCCTCTCCCACACAAGCTACTATTTTGCTTATTAGACTGATGAGGGATAACTTACTCTTCAAAGCTCAGTGTCCTGAGCCAATCTCTACTTTGCAGTGACTTTCACTGGTGCCTAAGAATGAAGAATTTTGCTTCTCAACCAGAGCTGAGTGTGCTTCCCCCAATCCTCAAATTTAAAGAAAGTTTTATTTGCTTAAAAAGATGCTCAATTTTTTCCATGTCCATTTCTTCTCTCTTTTTCTAATTTCTTTAAATTATTTTTTACTGTTTTTATTTTCCTGTGGTGAGGAGGAAAGAAGAATACATTCAAGAAAACATGATTATCACCGTGAATCTTTCTTCCACACTGACCATTGGCTGTTCTCGTAAACTGGAGGGGTATTATTTAGGAAGGAGAAATATCAGGGTCTTTTGTCATTAACAGTTATATTAAACCAATCCCTCTGTAGCCACAACACCATGCACACAGAGTAGGTACTCTAGCACATAGTCTTACAGGATTTTACTAGCAGTTTTTAATCTGTTTTGTTTATTGCTACCAACTAGTTCAGTAAAATTTGATGAGAAAGTTCTCAATGGAAAGCTTATCCAGTATGAACTCTCCAAAAATTATGCCACTTCTTAAAGTAATTTCTGATTCTGATTTTATAACATGTACAGCTCTATAGCACTTGTAAGGCAAATTTTTAATTAAACTTTTTATTTTGAAGTTATTGTAGTTTCACATGCAGTTGTACAAAATAATATGGAGAAATCTTATGTATCCTTTATCACTTTCCCTGAATAGTAACATCTTGCAAAATTATGGTACAATATCACAACCAAGAAATTGATATTGATAAAGTCAAGATAGAGAACACTTAAATTACCATACCAGTTTAAGTGTCACTCTGTCCCCTAGGTTGGAGTGCAGTGGTGCTGTCTTTGCTCACTGCAACCTCTGCCTCTGTGATTCTCATGTCACAGCCTCCCTAGTAGCTGAGATTACAGGTGCATGCCACCACGCCCAGCTAATTTTTGTATTTTTAGTAGAGACAGGGTTTCATCATGTTGGCCAGGCTGGTCTTGAACTCCTGATTTCAAGTGATCTGCCTGCATTGGCCTCCTGAAGTGCTTGGATTACAGGCATGAGTCACTGCACCTGGCCTCCCATGTTGGTCTTTTATAGCCACAGTCACATCTCTCTTGCCTACTGCCAGTATCATCTCTAATCCCTGGAAACAACTGATATATTCCCCATCTCTATAATTTTCTCATTTCAAGAATGCTATATAAATGGGCTGGGCATGGTGGCTTGCACCTGTAATTCCAGCACTTCGAGAAGCTGAGGCAGGTGGATTACCTGAGGTCAGGAGTTCTAGAACAGCCTGGCCAACATGGTCAAACCTTGTCTCTACTAAAAATACAAAAATTAGCTGGGCGTGGTGGTGCACACCTGTAGTCCCAGCTACTAGGGAGGCTGAGGCAGGAGAATTGCTTGAATCTGGGAGGCAGAGGTTGCAGTTAGCCGAGATCGCACCACTGCACTCCAGCCTGGGCGACAGAGCGAGACTCCATCTCAAAATAAATAAATAAATACATACATAAAAAAGAATGTTATATAAATGGAATTAAATTATAGACTATGTAACATTTTAGAATTGGTTTTATTCACCCAACATAATTATCTGGAAGTTCATCCAAGTTGTACATATCATTTCATTTTCTTTTTTAAATTGCTGGGTAGTATTCTGTGGTATGGATATTTGTTTACAACAGTGTATGCATTGAAGAACATCTGGATTGTCTGCATTTTGGGGCCATTATGAATAAAGCTGCTACTAACGTTTGCATGCAAATTGTTATGTGAATATAAGTTTTCTGGGATAAATCTCCGGGAGTGAAATTGCTGGGTCACATGGTAGTTGCATGTTTAGTTGTTTTAAGAAACTGTCAAATTGTTCTTAAGAGTTCCTATATCTTTTTAAATTCTTACCAGCAATGTATGACCATTCCAGCTTCTCTGCATAACACCTTCTTATTGTACCTGTTCTCATAGGTATGTGTAATAATATGTCATTGTGATTTTTAAAAATAGATTTAAGGGTAAAAATGCAGTTGTGTTACATGGCTATATTGCATAGTGGTGAAGTCTGGGCTTTTAGTGTACCCACCATCTGAGCAGTATACATTGTACCCAATAGGTAATATTTCATCCTTCACCCCTTTCCACACTACTGCCTTTTGGAATCTCCAATGGCTAATGGTCCACTCTATATGTCCATATGTACCCATTGTTTAGCTCCCACTAATAAGTGAGAACACATGGTTTTTGACTTTCCATTTCTAAGCTGTTTCACTTAGAATAATGGCCTTCAGCTCTATCCATGTTGCTGCAAAACACATGATTTCATTATTTTTTATGACTGAATAGTATTCCATTGTGTGTACGTACCACATTTTCTTTATCCAATTATCCATTGACGGACACTTAGATTGATTCCATGACTTTGATATTATAAACAGTGCTGCAATAAACATTTAAGTGCAGATGTCTTCTTGATATAATTTCTTTCCCTTTGGGTAGTTATCCAGTAGTGGCATTGCTGAATTGAATAGTGGTTATATTTTTAGTTATTTGAGAAATCACCATACTGATTTTCAAAAAAGTTGTACTAATTTAAATTCCCACTAACAAGTGTTTAAGTGTTCCTTTTTCTTTGCATCCTCACCAACATGTTTTTTGACTTTTTAATAATGGCCATACTGACTGATGTAAAATAGTATATCATTGTGGGTTTAATTTGCATTTCTCTGATGATTAGTGATGCTGAGCATTTTTTATATGTTTGTTGGCCAGTTGTATTTGTTCTTTTGAAAAATGTCTGTTTGTGTCTTTGGCCCACTTTGTAATAAAATATTTGCTCATTTGCTTGTTGCTTTGTTTTTGTTCCTTGTTGATTCTGGAGATTAGCCCTTCGTTGATGAATTGTTTGCAATTTTTTTCATTGTGTAAGATATTATTTCTTGTGCAGTGTAGAAGATTTGTAGTTTAAGTCTTATTTGTCTATTTTTTGTTTTGTTGCATTTCATTTTAAGGACTTAGTCATAAATTATTTGCTTACTTCTTTTTCTGTGCAGAAAGTTTTAGTTTAATTAAGTCCCATTATTAGTCTATTTTTTGGTTTCATTGCATTTCCTTTTGAGGACATAAATTTCCCTTTTGGTCATAAATTATTTGCATAGGCCAATGTTCAGAAGAGTTTTTCCAAGATTTTCTTCTAGTATATTTATAGTTTCAGGTCATACATTTAAGTATTTAATAAATGTTTAGTTAGTTTTTTATATGGTGAGCGATAGGGGTCCAGTTTTATTATTTTAATTTTTCCATCACCATTAACTGAATAGGATATCATTTCCCCAGTGTATATTTTTCTTTACTTCATCAAATGTCAGTTGGTTGTAAGCATGTAGCTTTATTTCTGGGTTCTCTATTCTGTTCCATGGGTCTATGTGTCCACTTTTATACCAGTACCATAATGTTTTAGTGATTATGTAGCCTTGTACTATAATTTGAATTCAGCTAATGTGATGCCTCCAGCTTTGTTCTTTTGGCTTAGGATTTTCTTTGGCTCTTCAGGCTCTTTTTTGGTTCCATATAAATTTTAGAATCATTTTATAATTTTGAGAAAAATCACATGGTAGTTTGATAGGAATTGCATTGAATCTGTAGAATACTTTGGGCAGTATGGATATTTCAGAAGTATTGATTCTTCCAATCCATGAGCATTTAATGTTTTTTCATTTGTTTGTGCCATCTATTGTTTTTAGACCATCCTTGCACTGCTATAAGGAAATACCTGAGACTGGGTAATTTATGAAGAGAATAGGCTTAATGGGTTCATGCTTTCACAGGCTGTACAGGAAGCATGGCTGGAGAGGCCTCAGGAATCTTTCACTCATGGCAGAAGATGAAGGGAAAACAGGCATGCCTTACATGACCAGAACAGGAGGAAGATTGAGTGGGAAAGGTGCCACACTTTTTAAACAACCAGATCTCTTCAGCACTCACTCACTGTCATGAGAGCAGCACTAAGGGGGAAATCCACTTCAATTATCCAATTACCTCCCACCAGGCCTTACCTCCAACATTGGGGATTACAATTCAACATGAGATTTGTGTGGGGACACAGATACAAACCATATCATTCTGTCCCTCTCCTCTCCTAAATCTCATGTCCTTCTTACATTGCAAAATAAAATCATCCCTTCTCAACAGTCCCCCAAAGTCTTAACTCATTCCAACACTAACTCAAAATTCCTCAGTCCAAAATCTCATCTGAGATAAGGCTAGTCCCCGCCACCTATGAACCTATAAAATCAAAAACAGTTTGTTACTCCCAAGATACAATGGGTGTATAGCCATTGTGTAAATACTCCCATTCCAAAGGGGAAAAATGGCCAAAAGAAGGGTGCAACAAGCCCTATGCAAGTCTGAAAACCAGCAGTTCAATCATTAAACCTCACAGCTCCAGAACAATTCCTTTGACTCCATGTCTGTCATCCAGGGCACATTGATGCAAGGGGTGGCCTCCAAAAGTCTTGGGTTGTTCTGCTCCTGTGACTTCATAAGGTTCAGTCCCCACAGCTGCTATCATGGGCAGGCATTTAGTGTCTATGGCTCCTCTAAGTGCAGGGTTCAACCTGCTGGTGTATTTACCATTCTGGGGTCTGGAGTATGGTGGCCCTCCTCTCCCACCCTCACTAGGAAGTGCCTCAGTGGGGACTGTGTGGGGGCTCCAATATCACATCTTCTCTGTGCATTGCCATGGAGGAGGTTCTCCATGAGGGCTCCACCCCTGCATCAGGCTTCTGTTTGGACATCCAGGCTTTTCTGTACATCTTCTGAAATCTTGACAGAGGCTCCCAAGCCTCAACTCTTGCACTCTGTGCACCTGCAGGCTTAACGCTACATGGAAGCTTCCAAGGCTTATGACTTGCACCCTCCAAAGCAGCGGCTTCAGCTGTACCTTGGCCCCTTTCAGCCACAGTTGAAGCTCAATTGCTTGGGATGTGGGGAGCACTGTCCCAAGGCTGCACAAGGCAGTGGGGCCCTGGTCCCAGCACATGAAACCATACTGTCCTCCTAGGCCTCTTGGCCTGTTATGGGAGGGGTTCCTACCCTGGTCTCTGAAATGCTTTCAAGGTTTTTTCTCCATTGTCTTGGCTATCATCATTTGCCTTCCATTTAGTTATGCAAATTTCCACAGCCTGCTTGAATTCCTCCCTGAAAATGAGTTTTTCCTTTCTACAACATGGCTGGGCTGTAAAGTTTACAAACTTTTGCACTGCACTTCCTTTTTAAATATAATTTTTAGTTTTATCTCACTTATTTGCTCATGAATATGAGCATAGGTTGCTAAAAACTGGCAAGCCACATCTTGAGTGTTGCTGCTTAGAAATTTCTTCTGCCAGATAACCTAAATCATCACTCTCAACTTCAAATTTCCAAAGATCCCTAGAGCAGGGGCACAATGAAGCCAACTTATTTTCTAACATATAACAAAAGTAATCTTTTCTCCAGTTCCCAATAAGTTCCTCATTTCCATCTCAGACCTCATCAGTCTGGCCTTTACTGTCCATATCACTACCAGCATTTTGGTCATAACAAGTCTCTTGGAAGTTCCAAATTTTTCCTCATCATCCTGTCTTTTTCTGAGCCTTCCAAACTCTTCCAACCTCTGCCCATTACCCAGTTTCAAAGCTGCTTCCACATTTCCAGATATCTTTACAACAATGCCCCACTCCTGGTACCAATTTTCTGCATTAGTCTGTTCTTGCACTGCTAAAAAGAAATACCTGAGACTGGGTAATTTATGAAGAAAAGAGGTTTAATTGGCTCATAGTTCCACAGGCTATACAGGAGGCATGGCTGGGGAGGATTCAGGAAGATTTCAATTATGACAGAACTTGAAGGAAAGCAAGCATGTCTTACATTGCTGGAGCAGGAGAAAAAGAGAGAGGAGAGAGGTGCCACACACTTTTTATACAACCAGATCTCATGAGCACTCACTCAATATTATGAGAACCAATCACCTCCCACCAGGTCCTACCACCAACATTGGGGATTACAATTCGACATGAGATTTGGGTGGGGACACAGACCAAAACCATGCCATCTATGATTTTTTTAATCAGTATTTTGTAGTTATCCTTGTAGATACCTTTTATATTTTTTGTTATATTTCTAGGTATTTTTTGGTAGCTATTATAAATGGGACTGAGTTCTTAATTTTGTTATTTGCTTGAATGTTATTGGTGTATAGAAATGCTACCAATTTTTGTACATTTATTTTGTATCCTGAGACTTTACTGAAGTTGCTAATCAAATCTCAGAGTCTTCTATAGGAGTCTTTATGGTTTTTTAGGAATACAATTATGTTTTCAGTGAGAAGAGATAATTTGACTTTTTCTTCTATCTGAATGCCCTTTATTTCTTTGTCTTGCCTAATTGCTCCAGCTAGGACTTCTGGTACTATGTTGAATAGGAGAGCTGAAGGTAGGCATCTTTGCCTTGTTCTAGTTCTTAGAGGGAAGGATTTCACAGTTTCTCCAATCAGTATGATGCTAGCTCTCGTTTTTCATATATGGCTTTTATTAATTTGAAGTATGTTCCTTTCATCCCTAGTTTGTGGAGGGTTTCATTCATGATGGGATGCTTGGCTTAATCAAGTGTTTTTCTGCATCTATTGAGTTGATTATATGCTTTTTAAATTTAATTATATTTATGTGGTGAATCACATTTATTGGTTTGTGAATATTGAACCGTTCTCCCATTCCTGAGATAAAATCCACTTGATCATATTGCATTATTTTAATGTGCTATTGAATTTGGTTTGTTAATATTTCGCATCTGTGTTCATCAGAAAGTTTGGCCTATAGTTTTCCTTTTTTTCTTGTCCTTGCATGGCTTTGTTATAGGGATTATGCTAATTTCATAGACTGAGTTACAAAGCATTACCTCCTTGATTTGTTAGAACAGTTTCAGGATTGGTATCAGTTCTTCCTTGTACATTTGGTAGAAAGCAGCTATCAATGTGTCTGGTCCTGGACATTTTTTTCTTGGGAGGTTTTTTTTTTTAATTACTGATTCAATTTTACTACTCATTATTGGTCTGTTCATTATTTCTATTTCTGGTTCAATCTTGGGAGGTTGTATGCTTCCAGGAATCTATCCTTTCACTCTAGTTTTTCTAGTTTATGAATGTATAGTTGTTCATAGTAGCCTCTGATGATCTTTAGTACTTCTGTGTTGTCAGCTCTAATGTCACCTTATCATTTCTGATTGTGCTTATTTGAATCTTCTCTTTTTTGGTTAATCTAGGTGGCAGTCTTTTCTTTTATTTTTTCACAGAACCAACTTTTCATTTTGTTGACCCTTTTTTTGTCTTAATTTCATTTAATTCCACTCTAGTCTTTGTTATTTCTTTTCTTCTGCTAGCTGTGGGTGTGGTTTGTTCTTCTTTTTCTATTTTCTTGAGGTGCAGCATTAGGTTGTTAATTTGAGTCATTTCTATCTTTTAAATGCATGCATTTATTGCTATATTATTTCCTCTTAGCACTGCTTTTGTTGATCCCAGAGGTTTTGGCATGTTGTATTCTTATTTGTGTTCCTTTCTAAAAAAAAAATTATATCCGCCTTAATTTCATTGTTGACTCAATGATTATTCATGAGAAGGTTGTTAAATTTTCATGTATTTGTATATTTTTGAGAGTTCCTCTTGGAATTTATTTCTAGTTATATTCCATTATGGTCCAAGAGGATTCACAGTATCATTTCAATTTTTAAAATAAAATTTATTGAGACTTATTGTGGCTAGGCCCGTATCTTCTAGAGTCCAATTAAAGTCCAGTGTTTCTCTGTTGATATTCTGCCTCAATTATCTGTCTATTGCTGTCAGTGTGGTCAGTGTGGTTTGAAGTCTCCCACTATTTTTATATTACTATCAATCTGTTTTCTGAGGTCTAGTAGAATGTTTTTAATGAGTCTGGGTGCTCTGGTTTTTTAGTAGCTTGCTATATAATCTTGTTATATAAGAAGAGTTGAATCAATCTCTTTATATAATGACCTGTGTCTTAGTTCATTTTACATTGCTGTAAAAGAATACCAGTGGTTGGGTAATTTATAAAGGAGCTTCCTGAATTTTTGATTTTTTTTATTTAAGCTATCTATTTTGTTGAATAATTTTTTCCTTTATTTCTTGTATCTTTTTTTGGATTTCCTTGCATTGGGCTTCACCTTTCTCTGGTCCCTCCCTTATTAGCTTAATAACTAACCTCCTGAATACTTTTTCAGGCAAGTCAGGAATTTCTTCTTGGTTTGGATCCATTGTTGGTGAACTAGTGTGATTTTTGGGGGGTGTTTTTGAGCCTTGTTTTGTCATATTACCAGGGATGCTTTTCTGGTTCCTTCCCATTTGGGTAGGTTCTGTCAAAGGGAAGATCTAGGGCTGAAGGCTGCTGTTCAGGTTTTTTTTTTTTTTTTGTCCCACAGGGTGTTCCCTTGATGTAGTACTTGCCCCCTTTTCCTGTGGTTGTGGCTTCCTGTGAGCTGAACTGCAGTGATTGTTGTCTCTCTTCTGGATTTAGCCACCCAGTGAGTCTACCCAGCTCCTGGCTGGTGCTGGGGGTTTCTACACAAAGTCCTGTGATGTGAACCATGTATGGGTCTCTCAGTCATGGATACCAGTGCCTGTTCTGGTGGAGGTGGCAGAGGGTGCAATGGACTCCATGAGGGTTTTTAGCTTTGGTGGTTTGATGCTCTATTTTTGTGCTGATTGACCTCCTGCCAGGAGGTGGCACTTTCCAGAAAGCATCAACTGTAGTAGTGTGGAGAGAGACTGGCAGTGGGTGGGGCCCTAGATCTCCCAAGATTGTATGTCCTTTGTCTTCCACTAGCAGGGTGGGTAGGGAAAGACCATCAGGTGGGGATGGGGTTACGTGTGTCTGAGCTCAGACTCTCTTTGGGTGGGTTTTGCTGCAGCTGCTGTTGGGGATGGGGTGAGATTCCCAGGTCACTGTAGTTGTGTACCTAGGAGGATTATGAATGCCTCTGCTGAGTCATGCAGGTTGTCAGGGAAATGGGGAAAAGCCAGCAATCATAGGCCTTACCCAGCTCCCACACAAACTGAAGGGCTGGTCTTACTAACACCATGTCACCCACAACAGCCCTGAGTCTGTTTCCAGGTGGAGGTTGGGCTTGAAAACTTGCCGGAGGCTTTCTGCCCCCAGCTGTGAAAGAAAAGGACTTTAGTTCTTACCCCGCCTGTGAAGTCTGCAAGCAGAATTCGCACCCTTTCCCAAGGTCTGGCCAGGAGGCTTCTCGCCCCACTCCAATTGTTACAAAGTTGAGCTAAGGAAGTCCTTCTCACTGGTGAGGTTTTATTGCCTGCTCCTCTGGCCTCCCTCCTGATGGATCCCTGTGATGCCAAGCAATAATGTGCTGCCTGGATTCAGTGAGCTCCCAGGGACTCACTGCTGCCTCCTCCACCCCTGTATTTCGCTAGGCTGGGCTCTCTAACTTGACTCAGCTCCAGGTAACGTCAAGAACTTCTCCAAACAGAACTTCAGCTTCTCTAGTGGGGGTGTGTGTTCAAAAAACGGGGGTCTCCCATTCCCACTTCCACAGCTGGGGCACTATCAGTATTTGAGATGTCTCCTGGGTCCTGCAGGAGCAGTCTGCTGCCTTCAGAGGGTCTGTGGTTACTCTCAGGATTGCTGGTTTGTTCTTGCAGTCGATCTGGAGCTAAAATTCACAGTGCAAGCCTTTGCAATGCTGCTCTATCTGGAGCTGCAATCTAGTCCTACCTCCTGTCTGCCATTATCTGCAGAAGCTCCAGGACTACATTACAATGTGACATTTGGAGGGGACAAATATCCGAATGATAAAAACCATTTTTTTAACTTTTGTTGATTTAACGTCTGTTTTATCAAATATAAGCATAGCTACTTCTTCTTGCTTTTTGTTTCTATTTGTGTGGAATATATTTTTGACCCTTTAAATTTGTGTCTGCAGTGTCTTTACCAGTTAGCTGAGTTTTTTATAAGCAGTATATACTTGGATTCTGTTTTTTTGTTTTTTTTTTAAATCCATTTCATCAATCTGTGCTTTTCAGTGGAGCATTTAACACACTTACATTCAAAGTTAATATTGAAATGTGAGGTTTTGTTCCTGTCTTAATGTTAATTTTTACCTTGTTCCTTTGTAGTCTCAATTGTGTAATTGTTTTATAATATCTGTTAGTTTTAAACTTTTGTATGTTTTGATGATTGTGGGTAGTGACCTTTCACTACAATGTTTAGAAGTCCCTTGAGCATTTCTTGTAAGACTGGTCTAGTTGTAATGAACTCCTTTAGTGTTTGCTTAAGTGGAAAAGGTTTTATTTCTCTTTTATTTATAAAGCTTAGTTTAGCTGAAACAATATTCTTGGCTGAAATTTTTTCTTTTAGAACGCTGGAAGTAGAAACCCAGTCTCTTCTGTTTTTCTTTTAGGTTTTTGCTGAGAAATCCACTGTCAGTCTGATAAGACTTCCTTCATTGGTGATTAGACACTTCTTTCTTGCTGCTTTTGGATTTTTTTTTCCTTCACATTGATTTTGGGTAGAATGAAGGCAATATACCTTGATGAGGTTCTTCTTGCAATATATCTTCCAGGAGTTCAGGTGTTCTCTGAGCTTCTTGCATCTGGAATTCTAAAACTCTGGCAAGACCAGGGAAATTTTCTTGAATTATTTCCTTCAATAGGTTTTTTATACTTTTTATTTTTTTCTCCCTATGGAATACCTGTAAATCATACTTTGGATACTTTGCATAATCCCGTATTTCACAAATGCTTTGTTCATTTTTAAAAATTGTTTTTCTTTATTTTTATCTGACTGGGTTAATTCAAAACACCTGTCTTCCAGCTCTGAAATTCCTTCATCTGTTTAGTCTAGCATATTTTTAAAGCTTTAACATGTGTTTTATAATTTCTTCAAAATTTTTTTGTTTCTATAAATTCTGTTTTCATTTAAAAATATTTATGTCTTCTTTCATATTCTGAATTGTTATTCTGATTTCTTTGTGTTGGTTTTTAACTTTCTCTTGGATCTCACTGAGTTTCCTTCCAATCCATATTTTGAATTCTTTATCTCTTATTTCAGAATTCTCATTTTGATTAGATCTATTGCTAGAGAGGTGGTGATGCTTTGTGGGGATCATAACACTATGTTTTTTCATACTGCCAGAGTTCTTACACTGGTTCCTTCTCACTGTAAAAGCTGTCTCTTCTTATTTTTTAATTTACTTTCATTTCCCTGGAATATGTGACTATAATGTTTGTTGTGCATGGTCATTTGGCTTCACTCATTATAGATAGGTGTTGTGGAGTGGCTTTCTCAAATGTTTCATGTACTAGTGATTTACTGGGCATATGAGCAGGCACGCTGACTTCTGAAGTACCAGGATTGTGGAGGTCTCAGAAAGCTTCTTTCTTTCCTTAGTACTGTGTGCTTGTGTCAGCAGGTTTTGTATTGGGTTGTGCAGTTTAATTTGTAGGCCAGTAGGTGGCGCCCATGGTAAACGCCACCTGCAGCTGAAACAGATGGGTATGTGTTTGATCTTTGTTTATTGGGAGGTGCGCTGTTGTTTCAGGTGATGGGTGCTGGGCGGGTCTGTGGAATGCTCTGGTGCCCTGAGTTCTTGTCCCCTCACACCTCAGGATGGGCTTGAGAGACAAAGATAGAGCTGGACTACCATGCTTGCCCACAAATACGCCAATGACAAGCAGCGTAGGCACCAACCCTGATGGGGGTGGCAGTGGAAGTTCTTTTTGAAATGTACCAAGGTCTCCACACAGTGGGAGGGTGGGCACCAGCTTAACATCCAAGGGAAGAAGGGATAAGATCTGTTTTTCTATCCTACCTCTGTCCCAGGAATCATGACTCTTAATTCAGTCAGACACTGTAGTCTATCTCTAGGCCACAATGCAGCTAATAGCCACAGAAAATGATTGTCTCACAGTTCTTCATGGAAATGGCTTCAGGGAGAATCCTCTTTCCTAAGCATAATACAAATATCTTTGTGGGTCACCTTTTCTCCAATGCAGGAACACTGCTGCTTTGTGTAGAGACAGAAAAAGGCTGTACATTTTGGCACATGCGGGTTGGTGCCAGCTGTGATGGTGTTGGCTGTTTGGGTCAGTCTGACCTCAGATGTTTGGGGGAGTGATCAGGTGCCAGTGGTGATAAAGTGGTCTAGGCAATCCCTCAGTCTCCAGGCCCCCAAATAGTATGTTCTGTCCCAGAGGGACTAGATCAGGGACTGGACTAGTAGACTTTTCTTCACGTGCTGATTGTAATAGGGACAGGTGGACTGGTTGCCAAGATACCAGTAGAATGCTCAGGCAGGAGAAGAGTAGCTGCACTGCAGGCTCACCACCAGGGAAGGCAGACCCCTCTCACTCAGAGCTATACAGGCAGGCAGCTGTGCAGAGGCATGACTTGCTCACACCTCTGTCTGGCCGCAGTGGTGACAGTATCTGTCCCTGGTGTGTGTGTGAAGGTGCCTGGTCTCCCCACTCCCCTCCAAGCCCACTGGTGACAGCAGTGGCAGTGTCAGCAGCAGCCCCAGGGCAGAACACAGGCAGATGGGACTGTCAGGGTGGTGCTGGGCAGCAGCTGTTCAGGGCTTAAGAGTTATAGGACTCTAAGTGAATTCAAACAATTACTATGTGCAACTTACAGGCAGCTTCCCATGTTTATCTGGAGGCCTGTGGGAGTCAAAAAGCTCTCCGGTAATTATGATTATAAAACTTCATGGCAAAAGTGTGGAGCACTGAGTGTGAGCACCCCTTCTCAATGTCAGGGAATCTCGCCTGGCTCCATATCAATCCCAGCTCAGCAGTTTGCCTGGTTTTACTCTCCTTTGCTTTCTGTAATTCCCATTGCTTTCCCTGGTGGATTCCAGTGTTCTCTCTTAGATAATCAATTATAAGTGTGAATATTTACTCACTATATTGATTCCTCTCCATGCAAGAGGTGTCCACTAGCTGCATCTAGTCATCTATCTTGAATCAAAGCACTATTGTGATTTTAATTTGCATTTTCCTAATGGCTAATGATGTTGATTCCTTTTTTTCATCCCTTTATCTGTCATCCATATATCTTCTTCAATTGAAATGTTTCTTCATGTCATTTTTCCATTCATTTTTTTTCTGGCTTTTATTATTATTTTTTATTATACTTTAAGTTCTAGGGTACATGTGCACAACATGCAGGTTTGTTACATATGTATACCTGTGCCATGTTGGTGTGCTGTACCCGTTAACTCGTCATTTACATTAGGTATATCTCCTAAAGCTATCCCTCCCCCCTCCTCCCACCCCACAACAGGCCCCAGTGTGTGATGTTCCCCTTCCTGTGTCCAAGTGTTCTCATTGTTCAATTCCCACCTATGAATGAGAACATGCGGTGTTTGGTTTTTTATCCTTGCGATAGTTTGCTGAGAATGATGGTTTCCAGCTTCATCCATGTCCCTACAAAGGACATGAACTCATTCTTTTTTATGGCTGCATAGTATTCCATGGTGTATATGTGCCACATTTTCTTAATCCAGTCTATCATTGATGGACATTTGGGTTGATTCCAAGTCTTTGCTATTGTGCATAGTGTTGCAATAAACATACGTGTGCATGTGTCTTTATAGCAGCATGATTTATAATCCTTTGGGTACATACCCAAATGTCCATCAATGATAGACTGGATTAAGAAAATGTGGCACATATACACCACGGAATACTATGTAGCCATAAAAAAGGATGAGTTCATGTCCTTTGTAGAGACATGGATGAAGCTGGAAACCATCATTCTCAGCAAACTATCGCAAGGACAGAAAACCAAACACTGCATGTTCTCACTAATAGGTGGGAGTTGAACAATGAGAACAATCGGACACAGGGTGGGGAACATCACACACCAGGGCCTGTCGTGGGGTGGGGGGAGGGGGAAGTGGTAGCATTAGGAGATACACCTAATATAAATGACGAGTTAATGTCTTCTTTTGAGAAGTGTCTGTTTATATCCTTCGCCCACTTTTTGATGGGTTTGTTTGTTTTTTTCTTGTAAATTTGTTTGAGTTCATTGTAGATTCTGGATATTAGCCCTTTGTCAGATGAGTAGGTTGCAAAAATTTTCTCCCATTCTGTAGGTTGCCTGTTCACTCTGATGGTAGTTTCTTTTGCTGTGCAGAAGCTCTTTAGTTTAGTTAGATCCCATTTGTCTATTTTGGCTTTTGTTGCCATTGCTTTTGGTGTTTTAGACATGAAGTCCTTGCCCATGCCTATGTCCTGAATGGTATTGCCTAGGTTTTCTTCTAGGGTTTTTATGGTTTTAGGTCTAACATTTAAGTCTTTAATTCATCTTGAATTAATTTTTTTATAAGGTGTAAGGAAGGGATCCAGCTTCAGCTTTCTACATATGGCTAGCCAGTTTTCCCAGCACCATTTATTAAATAGGGAATCCTTTCCCCATTTCTTGTTTTTGTCAGGTTTGTCAAAGATCAGATGGTTGTAGATGTGTGGTATTATTTCTGAGGGCTCTGTTCTGTTCTATTGGTCTATATCTCGGTTTTGTTACTAGTTCCATTCTGTTTTGGTTACTGTAGCCTTGTAGTATAGTTTGAAGTCAGGTAGTGTGATGCCTCTAGCTTTGTTCTGTTGACTTAGGATTGACTTGGCAATGCATTGCCCATCCTTTTATTAGATTGTTTTGGTTAAGTTTTTAGAGATTTTTAGAAAACATATTCTACTTAATAGACCTTTTGTGAAACATGAGGTTTGCAAAATATTAGTTCCCAAAATATAGCTTGTCATTTCATCCTATTATCAGGGTCTTTTGTAGACTAAAGTTTTATTTTTTATTTTGATGAAGTTCAATTTATGTATATTTATTTCTCCTAAGGACAATGCTTTTGGTGAAAAGACTAAGAAACCTTTACTTAGTCTTAGATTCTAAAAATTTTCTATTTGTTTCAAAAAGTTTTATATTTGTATATTTTTATTTAAATCTACTATGAATTTTGATTTAATTTTGTATAATGTGTGAGATGTAGGTGGAGGTTCTTTTTATTTTTTTCTCTTCTTTATTTCTTATTTTTACATATGAGTTTTTTTTGTTTGTTTGTTTTGCCTATACGTGTCTAGTTGTTCTGGCTCCATTTGTTGAAAAGGCTATCATGCCCCCATTGAATTGTTTTTACACCTTTGTCAAAAATCAGTTGAACATGTATGTGTGGTTCTATTTCCAGATTCTCTATTCTATTCCAGTGATCTGTGTGTCTATCCCTCCACCAATACCAACAGTCTTTGGTACTGTAGCTACATAAGTCTTGAAATCAGGTGAGTGGGTCCTTCTTACTTTATTCTTTCTTTTCAAATTGTTCTTGCTATTCTAGTTCCTTTGATTTTCCACATAAATATTAGAATAATTTCATCTATACTATGAAGATTTTGCTGGAATTTTGATAGGCATGTTATTAGACCTGTAAGTAAACTTGGGGCAAATTAACATCTTTATTATTTTAGTTTTTAAATCCATAAACACCATATTTCTCTTAATTTATTTGATCTTTTTATTTCTTTTATTGGTCTTTTGTAGTTTTCAGCATACACACTTGTACATGTTGTTAGATTTCCAACTCAGTATTTCAACTTTTGAGAGATTGTAAGTGGTATTATACTTCTAATTATGATGTCCATATGTTTATTGGTTGTATATAGAATAGAAATGCAATGGATTTTTATATGTTGATCTTGTGTCTGCCATAGTGCTACTCATTTACTAGTTCCAAGAGGAGTATTTTTTTTTTTTGCAGATTCCTTAGGATTTTCCATGAAAACAATAACGTCACCTTCAAATTGACAGTTTTATGTTTTTTCTTGTTTTATTTCACTGATTAAAACTTCCTTCATTATGTTGAATAACAACAGTGAGAGTGAACACATAGAAATCCTTGTCTTGATCCCAATCTTAGGAAGTATGTTATAGTTTTTGTAGATACTCTTTATCAGATGAAGAAAGTTCTCCTCTATTCCTATTTTTCTGATAATTTTATTCATAAAAATGTATTAAATTTTGTCAAATTTTTCTTTGCATCAGTTTATATTATCATGTGATTTTTCTTCTTTTGCTTGTTAAAATGGTGAATTACTTTGATTGATTTTTGAACATTGAACCAGCCTGGCACTCACAAAATAATCCTCACTTGGTCATGCTATGTAATTATTTGTATACATTGCCAAATTTTGTTAATATTTGGTTAAGGAATTTTGCTTCAATCTTCATGTAGTTTTGGTATTTTGGATCTTATTTTCAACTATAAATTTTATAGTTTTCTCTTTTTTTGTATTACCTTTGTCTGCTTTTGGTAGCAAAATAATTCTACCTTCATAAAAGAAAGTGAGTAGTGTTTTTTAAATTATGTGGTTAATTCACTGAATAGTTATAAAACTGTTGAGATTATCTATTACATATTGAGTGGGTTGTGGTAGTTTGTGCTCTTCAAGAACTTCGTCCATTTCATCAAAATTGTCAAGTTTGTGTGTGTAGAGTCGTTTTTAGTAGTCCTTACTATTCCGATGCCTGCAGGGTATGTATTTATATTCCCTCTATCACTGTTAATGTTGATAATTTGTGTTTTCACTTTTTTCTCTTTGGTAGCCTTGCTAGAAGTGAATCAATTTTATTTGTCATTTCAAAAAATATACTATTCTTTTCATTGATTTTATCTATTGTTTCCCTGATCCAATTTTATTGATTTCTACACTTATTTTTATTATTTTTCTGTCTGCTTGGTTTTATCTTATTATGCTCTGCTTTCTACAGGTTATTTGGGTGGAAGCTTATTGATTTGAGACTTCCTCTATTTTAAGGTATGCATTCAATGCTATTCATTCCTCTCTAAATATTGCTTTGTGTCCCACAAATTTTGTGCTACATTTTTTAAAATTAAGTTTACCGAATATTTGTATTACATTTGAGACTTTTGTTGGGCCCATAAACTGCTTAGAAATGTGCTGTTTTCTTTGCAAGTGTTTGTATATTTTTCTGTTATATTGCTCTTGTTGAGTTCTAGTTTGATTTCACTGTGGTCAGAGAACACTCTCTGTATGATTTAATTTTTTAAAATGCGTTGAGTTTGTTTCATAGATCAATATATAATCTATTTTGGTATATGTTCTGTGAACACTTGAAAAGAATGTTGTATAAATGTAGATTAAATCATGTTGGTTGATGGTGTTTGTGAGTTCTTTTATAATGCTGCAAATTTTCTTTTTAGTTGTTTTCTTAATTAT
The DNA here is from genome assembly GCF_000001405.40 of Homo sapiens. Classification (NCBI taxonomy): domain Eukaryota; kingdom Metazoa; phylum Chordata; class Mammalia; order Primates; family Hominidae; genus Homo; species Homo sapiens. Next base: position 84,052,374 of record NC_000023.11, read on the forward strand.
TGAGAGATATATGTTGAAATATCCAACTAAAATCATACTGTAATTATGAATTTTTCTATTTCACTATTGAATTCTATTAATTTTTGCTCCACATATTTTTTATCTGTTTTACTAGGTGCGTACACATTTAGGATTGCTATGTCTTCTTGGTGGATTTCTTAATTGTGGTGTAATGTCCTTTCTATTTCTTTGCTCTGGAGTCTATTTTACCTGATATTAATATAGCCATTCCTGCTTTCATTACTTTATAAATAATATATCTTTTTTTCTATCATTTTACTTTCAATCAGTCTACGTTATTCCCATTTGGAATGGCTGTATTTACCCAATGCCTGTACCCCCATTGTATCTAGGAAGTAACTAACTTGCTTTTGATTTTACAGGCTCATAGATGGAAGGGACTTTCTTTGTCTCAGGTGAGACTTTGGACTGTCGACTTTTGAGCTAATGCTGAAATGAGTTAAGACTTTCTGGGACTATTGGGAACTTGTGATTGGTTTTGAAATGTGAGGACATGAGATTTGGGAGGAACCAGAGGTGGAATTATGTGATTTGGCTATGTCCCCACCTAAATCTCATCTCGAATTGTAACTCCCACAATTCCCATGTTCCATGGGAGGAACCCAGTTGGAGGTAATTGAATCATGGGGGCGGTTCTTTCCTATGCTACTCTCCTGATAGTGCATAAGTCTCACGAGATCTGATGGTTTTAAAAATGGGAGTTTCCCTGCACAAGCTTCTCTCTTTGCCTACTGCCATCCATGTAAGATGTGAGTTGCTTCTCCTTGCCTTCTGCCACCCCAGCCACATGGAACTGTAAGTCCATTAAAGCTTTTTTTTTTTTTTTTTTTTTTTTTTTTTGTAAATTGCCCAGTCGAGTGTGTCCTTATCAGCAGCATGAAAATGGACTAATACAATGACTTAACAAACTATCTTGGTTGGGTTACTAATTCATGGTGTTTGTCAAATACAAATAATCAAAGTAAGGTGAAACTTTTAAAGCTGCTATATTATCAGAGAATTCTCAAACTTTGTAAGTAACCTGTACTTATTCAATCCCTAAACCAGTAGATTTCAGATTTGAGCATGCATCAAAATTACCTTGTTAAACTACGGATCCCTATATACCAGAGTTTCTGATTCAATAGATCTGAAGTAGGCTCAAGAATCTGCATTTCTAACAAGTTCCCAGATGATACTGGTGCTGCTTGTCCAGGGGCTACACTTCGAGAACCACTGGCCTAAGTCAATCTCTAGTTCCTAGAGGCACCGAGAGAAAGCAGGCTGCTAATGAGAGCAGCTTTATTAAGATAATCCAAATGCCTATCTCAGATGTGGCCATGGAGGACAATGAACATACTCCAAGGTAGCAAAACCAGAGGCTCACAGGTTGGGTGACTGAGGGTCTCATTCCTATTGCTAGGGCAATACATCCTATTCCAGTCCAGAAGTGTGTCATGTTTTATGGACTGAGGACCATAGAGTGTTATTTCCCATTGTCTCATAATCCAAATGAGAAATTTTATTGCAATAATTTTGTTCTCTCTCCACCGCTGCACGTTGAGGTAGTTAAAATTTCGCTACTTTTTTATGAGGCATAGACAAGTTGATTGTAAAGTTCATATAGAAAAATAAACACAGAAGAATGGCTAGGAAAACACTGAAAAGGAAGGTCTTGAGGCAGGAGAGAACTAGCCCTGTCAGATATTTAAACAGTCTACCAGAAAGCCTCCATAAGTCAAACAGTATAGCATTGGAACATTGTACAGATAAATCAATGCGATAGAATAATAAGTTCAAGGGGAAAAAAAGCCAGCTACATATAAAAGTGTAGTGTATGAGAAGGGTAGTATTTCTCAAATCACTTTGACAAAGTTAGTGTTTTTACAACTGGTGCTGGAAAAACTAGATAGCCATTTGGAAAAGGATACAATTAGATACATTCTTAACACCACACAGGAATAAAACCAAAATAGATGATACAGCTAAATAAAAAGTATAAAACTATACAAATATTAGAAGAAAGCATATTATTCTACAATTTACATATTGAGAAAAGCTTTCTAACTATGATTAAAAATCTGGATAGAATAAAATAAAAATATAATTTTGATTACATAAAACAAGTTTGAAAAATTTGCATATAAGTACCATAAGTAAAGTAAAAAACAAATGACAATCTGGGAGAACAAATTTGCAACATATATCAGAGATAAATGGTTAACAGCCCTAATTTACAGAAAAGACTTTTGAGAGTTGAGGAACAGAGACCAAAATCTTTTTTTAATTTATACTTTAAGTTCTGGGTTACATGTGCAGAACGTGCAGTTTTGTTACATAGGGATACACGTGCCACGGTGATTCGCTGCACCCACCAACCCATCACCTGCATTAGGTATTTCTCCTAATGTTATCGCTACCCTAGCCCCCCAACCCCCCAACAGGCTCCCTGTGTCCATGTGTTCTCACTGTTCAACTCCCACTCAGGAGTGAGAACATGTGGTGTTTGGTTTTCTGATCCTGGATAGTTTGCTGAGAATGATGGTTTCCAGCTTCATCCATGTCCCTGCAAAGGACATGAACTCATCCCCTCTCATGGCTGCATAGTATTCCACGGTGTACATGAGCCACACCCTCTTAATCCATTCTATCATTGATGGACATTTGGGCTGGCTCCAACTCCTTGCTATTGTGAACAGTGCCACATCTTATAGACACAAAAATATGAAAATATATTCAACCTCACTCATAATAAGAAAAATACAAACTAAAACTACAATGAGGTTCCATTTCTTACTCCGCAACTTGGCAAAAATATCAAAGCCTGTCAATGCGCTCTGTTGGTGAGCCTAGGGAAAATCAGGTGCTCTCACATACTGCTGGAAAAAATACAAAATGGCATAATACCTATGGAGGGGATTTTGGCAATAGCTAACAAAATTACATATGTACTTATCCTCCAATAGAGCAATCTCAATTTCAGAAATTTCTCAAAATGATACATCAGCAGTATGAAAATGTATACACATAAGGTTATTATTTATTGCAGCATTATTTGTCATTGTGAAATATTGGAAATTACCTGTCAAAGCACAGGAGTTTGGTTGGATAAACTATAGCACATATACACAATGAAGTACTATGCAGCTGTAAAAATGTATAAGGAAGCATACATATACATCTGCTTATCTTTGGATTAACACATAAAGCATGAACCCCAAAACAATGAAGTTGGTTACCTACAAGGAGTGTGGGAAAATGGGGTGGGGAAGATAAAAGAAGAAAGTGACAGTTCTCTGAGTATACCTTTCTGTATGGTTTTTACTTTTGAAAACATGTTAATATGTTGTCCATATTCAAAAAACAAATCAGTAAGAATAGAAAAGTGGGGCTAAAACTGAAATCAAATGTAAACAAATAAACCCAACTAAATTTCAAATGGAAAACACAATGATACTGAAGAGAAACTACAACAACAAAAACTTATCTATAAGTAAGTCAGCCATCATCCCTCCCTGAGGGAACTGTAAATCACCTAGTTCTTTGTTCTGAAGTTACATTACAAAAATGGATAATTCAGGTATTCTTTTCAGGCAATGGTGGTATATGCATTATACGTAGGCGTAGGCATTTAAAAATTGTACATATGAGAAGGATGCCGAGTAGCCAAAAGGAGAATCGGAAATGTAGTTTGCTATCCACCATCTATTTGCCCTTATTCTGGTTACAATGCATTACTTTCTTTCAGAGGGATCACCCCTTTTCCCACTTTCAGTTCAATTATTTCTTATGGAGTTTACTCGACCCCGAGGAGCTACACATGAGAGAGGAGGTAAAGTTTTGACCTGCTATTGCCATCTTGCCATTGTAATGCCTGAGAATGGGCCAGCATTGAAAACAGATCTGAGAGATGGAGAAAAAAATGTCCCCATGACTTTGACTAAGATATGAATCCCCTATGCTTTTTAAACCAGTTTATCTATGGAACTAGTACTTGCAACCAAAAAATGTACTAATGGATTTGCTGCAAAATCATAGTTAAAGACATTATTCCAGTTCCATGCCCCTTGTAATAAGGTTCTTCTTTGTTAAATGCTTTAAAAATCTTAGGAAGCAAAAAGTATCTGTTGAAGAATTAGCATTCTTCCTCTCACATAATTATGTAACCTGCTAAATTTCTCTTCTTGCCTTTCCTGTCAGGAAGCTCAGAGTTAAATTAATGTTCAAGTAAATTCCTTATTATCCCTGGCTCTTGGCGTACTTTTTTTTCCTTTAATTTTCATGATTTTGTGTTTCACTTTAGCATCCTTATTGTATATATGACTGTTACCATAAACAACCTTGAATCTCTTTTAGAAAGAGAATAAAATCAGTGTCTGGCACAGAAACAGAATACACATTTGTTCAGTAAAAAAAAAAAATGCATCTATTAACAAAGTATTTCTGTCAGAAACGGAACGATCAGAGATGTTACATATGGTGGTGTACTTTACAACACTTCCTTTAAAAAAAAAAACAAAAAAGTGTAGAACACTGTACCTACATTCAGAAAATATACCAAATGTATCTGAGAGTCTTAAAGCAAAAGGAAAGAAAAAGGCAAAACCTGGGTTCTAACCTATGCTTAGGCATGGAGGTGGGGCAGAGGGATGAGGAAATAACAGACCTAGAAATAGGTTGCTTTGTGCTTGGGTAGAGTAGGTTCTAGGTTCTAGAAGAAGCCAATAGTAAAAGAATGTAAACTCTATCTTCAGAAATATGTCCCCAGCAGTTTCAATCTGTTTGTTTGTTCAAGAGGACACATGGGGACTCATGGGAGAAGCAAATTGTGGTCTGATACTTCTATCTCTCACTTTGAGGTACATCGAGGGTACCTCGAAGTTAACCATCCTGGCTAACATGGTGAAACCCCATCTCCATTAAAAAATACAAAAAAAAAAAAAATTAGCTCGGCGTGGTGGCGGGCGCCTGTAGTCCCAGCTACTCGGGAGGCTGAGGCAGGAGAATGGCGTGAATCTGGGAAGTGGAGCTTGCAGTGAGCCGAGATCGCGCCACTGCACTCCAGCTTGGGCGACAGAGCGAGACTTCGTCTCAAAAAAAAAAAAAAAGAAAAAAAAAAAAAAGAAAAGTGTATCATGTTTAGTTTGGTAAGCCTAAATTATTTAAGGGTCTCACTGACCAAAAAAATGCATTACCTATTTTGGTAGCTAATGCTTAAAATACAACTGCAGAATGTAGTAATACTTTCATAAGAATAAGGTTTTTAAAGTATTATGTATAAATGGTGATCAGATATTTTATTAAGGGGCTGGGAGATGGAAGACATGAAAGCAAAAGCAGAAAAGAGATTAAAAAGAGGTGGCCAATATGCAAGCAATTTTTGCGCACTTACCAAAGTTGGCCTAGTGTCAGTCCTGTTTACCTTTAAGAAGTTGATTGAGAGAAACAGAGGAGGTACATGGTGCTTTTGATTACCGGGCTCCAAATGCATTTTTGACCCGCATATGAAATAAAATTTCTGTGTATATGTACAGCTGTTATAAATTAACACGGCATACACGTGTGACTTTTTTCATAAATTTCTGTTACTCTACTTGATTCTGAGCTTTAAAAAATGTTGCCAATCTTTAGAGATTAAAATTTTAATTTTTTTTGCTGTAGAAAAGGTTGTCACCTTATCTAACTTGCAAACAAATGCATTTTCCTGATAAATCCTAAAAATACTGTAAGCTTTAATGTTCATTTTATTGAATTTCCTTGCCTTATGAGAATATTAGAAAAGTTGGAAAAATACCAGAGTTTAGGACATATCAGGGTATATGCATGAAAAAGCAATATCCTGAAACACCTGTTACACCTGGCCCCTGAACAAGGTGTATCATTGCCAATGAATTCTGCAATTAGCTGGATGTGTTTAATAAAAGCAGACACAAAATTTTATATCCAAAAATGATCAAGCGAGGTCAACGGTAAAAATGTTAGAAAGTTGCAGCCTTTTTATTTGGTACCCAGAGAATGCCAGTAATTTAACATATCTTGAGAACTGTTGCTCACAGAGTTTTAACAAGAACAAAAATAAATATAACTTCTATGTCTTCTTTGGCATGTTGTAAATTCAAAATGATAGCCATTTCTTTAGCAGCATTGTGAGAGAAAGAAACATTGTAAAATGAACTACTGGATTTGGTCTTACATGATAAAAAACTTAGTATAATAAATGAAAATTTTAATGTCAAAAAACCAATGGTTTAAAGAAAACATTAATAAAATAAATGGTAACATAAAATTCATAATATAGTCAGAACAATAAAATAGTTTTTGAACACTGGGGATTGTTTAACTGCAGCTTTGAAGTTTTTAAGTACACGTAAATCAAATTCACACACAACTTTTATTTAATGCCATTTCAGTCTTCAGAAATGCAATGAAATGTCAGTATATACATATATATTTAATATCAGAAATAAGTTTAGGAATTCAAAAGTGCTTGGGATGTGTTGGCAAACCAATTTTTTAAAAAATGTGGCTATAGCAAACTGTGGTTGCTTCATAAAGCCTATGTAACTCCCAACTACCAACAGTACTTCCTGTTTTTTTTTTTTTTTATCAAACAGAAAAACCACCTTCTCCTTTTTTTTGTACTATGGAATTTAATGCAAGATAAATTCTAACTTACAAACCATGCTGGAATTTGGATATTTAAGGTTTAATGTGTAACTTTTTAAATGGCTGTTTCTTTTCTTTTTTTTTTTTTTTTTTTTTTTTTTTTTTTGTGAGACGGAGTTTCGCTCTTGTTGCCCAGGCTGGAGTGAAATTGGCACAATCTCGGCTCACCGCAACCTCTGCCTCCCAGGTTCAAGTGATTCTCCTGTCTCAGCCTCCTGAGTAGCTGGGATTACAGGCATGCGCCACCACACCTGGCTAACTTTGTATTTTTAGTAGAGACGGGTTTCTCCATGTTGGTCAGGCTGGTCTCGAATTCCTGACCTCAGGTGATCCACCGCCTCGGCCTCCCAAAGTGCTGGGATTACAGGCATGAGCCACTGTGCCCGGCCGGCTGTTTCTTGATAGACTGCTTTCCTGCTGTTAAAAATAATTTTATCATACTAAAAAACAAAACACTACATATTTGTTATAAGCAGCAATTTCAGAGAGAATGAATTTGGAAAGAGAAAGAAAATGTGACCTGAGCAATATTAGTTCATAGGAAAGATAAAAGTAACCTAATCAGTCACATTTTGACAATTTTTTAATAAACGAATGCAGTTAGTACATTCTCTATAATTGTCCACGTAAAATTAAATGCTTAATACCTTTTGAAGAATAAATTATTAGTTCCCATAACTAGACAGTTGGAATTACAGCAAAACAGTCATCCACAGAAGCTCTATTGTCCAGCGTTTAGAAATGTGAATACAAAGCAAACCCTAACTTGGCAATTACATATATATATTTATTTATAAGCATTTAGCTAAAATTTATTTAGTGAATAATTGAAACATACATAATTTGCCAATATAATGTAAGCTTGGATTTCCATATTCTAAAACTTTTGTTTTTCTAAATATTTCAAAGAAACTTATGTCTATAATTTAATATATTCAAGTATAGTTCCCTTTTCTCTTATGTATTAGCAACCAAACTGAATTTTAGGTGATCAAGCATAACATTTTATTGAAAGTATATGATGGAATTCACTACACTGTAAGACTAAAACCAGGAACAGTGCATCCATGAGTATAATGTATGTTGTGAATAATCACTATCAATGCCACTATATTCCCACATAAAAAGGCAAATAGCCCACTATTGATTTATTCTGCTAATTTCAACAATCATTGATCTTGAGGTACATGCCAAAAATGCCTGAATAAGCTTTGAAATGTAAAACAAAAATGTTTTAAAGAAGTTTAATTGCAGTTGGCCAATATATACTTAATATGGCTTGCATTTTTTTTTTTTTTTTTTTGAAATAACATTGTGACTTAAAGGATTTCTAGGTCCTAAAATCTGGAAAAGGGATCTGGAAAAATTTGGACTCCATGAGTAGTTTGGATTCAATCTCTCTGTGCTTTTTTTTTTCTTTATAACAGGAATGGGATGGGGGGTGGGGGGAATAAAACTTCTTATGCTATATAGGTCATGTACTGTGAGAAACAAGAATACAAAACTATGGGTTTAAAAACAACATATACAGAAATAATCGCCAATCTCTGTCTACCTCCACATCATTTTGTCATAGAAGTTCATTGTGATTAAAAAGTTTAAAAGTTTTTAAGAGAAAAGGTAGATTGAGAAGTAGAAAGGAAGTAGGAAGGAAATTGTGCAAAAAAAGAAACAGTTTATTAGATACTCTGACCCTGGGACACACTGTTCCTTTCCCCCAAAATATTTTCCGTGATAGGAACTGAATTTAAAATTATCACCTTGTTAGATTGCCTGAAGATCCAGCAACTAAAAACTTGATTAATGCACAACTTCCTTAAAAAATGCCAATTAACTATTAGCCACTGACAGAAAAATGTAAATTAATTTAATAAGATAGCTTTCCTTTCACCTTTTTAGCTGGAAATGTCTGTTCTGATAGAATGGATATCCTGATTTGGGGAAGAGGAAGAGGAAGGAACAAGGAGTAAGGATCACACAGAATCCTTCTGGGGATAGGGTAAATTTCGTTGATGGAGTATTGCTGTGAGGTGCTCAAATAAGATAGATAGCATGAAGGGGCTGGAAAGCCAGGAGAAAGAGAATGTACAGAATACCACAAATATGCTTTGCCCACTTTAAAGCCTAAGTTTTCTTGTGGGCCTTAGGGCCAAGATAAATGGTTGTTTTCCTTCTTCATATATGAAAGACCTCTATCTAGAAAATACTAGTCAATCTGTATGGAAGTTTCTCTGGGCAGTACTATTTTAACATGTTGTTCCAATGGGCAGACATTATAAATACCAAGCATCTGTTCTTAAGGTTGTGGGTTGCCTAAACATATGGAATCCCTTTGAGCCAAACAGAGGTGCTATCAAAATTGTTTTATTATATTGAATTACCAATGACAATAAATTACAAAAAACACTGTTTTAGACATTGCTGAGTCTAACAAAATAGGCTGAAGTTTGATCTTTGTGAAAGGACTTGAAACCATTGTTTTTTCCCACAAAAATCCCCATCACCAGCACTGCATTCGAATTTTCTTGAAAATTGTTTCCTGAGTTTATTCATGGTAGTATGTGCTTAAGGACAACAGGTTGTTAGTCTATTTGAGCAAACCTGATGTTTTCTCTAAGAAAAACAAATTCAATATCCTCCCCCTTCAAGAACAATAAAACCCCAAACTGTGCTATCATTAAATACTACCAAAAACCATTAACTAGAAAAACACAATGCAAAATCATTATTCAAGAACCCATTAGAAACCACAGTATTCTAAAGTCTTATAGAAAAGATGTGTTTTTACTAGTTAAGCATTGATAGAAGTCCCATCAAAAAAATGTTCAATCCAAATCTGCATTTTTGGCTATGGAGTTCTAGCCAAACTGGACAGGATTAGGCATCCTTACCTGGGCTCCTTCTACAAAATGACAGTATGTTTTGAAGCTCTCCCATATAATAAGGTTGCCCCCTACTACTGTGGTTAAGCTAGCATATTTGAGTTTTTCACTAGAAAACTCTCAAACAATTATCGGGTACATCCAGTAGCATACCTGTATCTTTTATACACTGTCAGTCCTCACTGGGTGATCAGAAATCATGCTGTTCATTGCTTAATTCTTATAGTGTTCCTTTTATGATAGGACTGTATGGCATGACCTTTCTGAGCAAGCTAATTTAAAATTAATTAAGACTGTCTACTTTTTAAAGCCATTGATTATAGAAAACCTGAAAGTTATTTTGTAATCATTTTTCATTTTCTGATTTCACTTCCCCTAATTTTATTACTTAAAATGCATCCATGGAAATAGTATCTCTGTCCTGAAAACTTCAACACCAAAATCACACCTCTGAGTTTGACTTATCGATTCTGATAGGAAGGCATAACAGCACTAGATAATGACAGAAGGAAAATAAGTCAGAATATATGCTTACAAACTGTTACATGCAAGTACATATAGTAATAAAGCAAATGAGAAAAAAAGCCAAAATGGAACATAAAAAGCCATAAGACATGATACCTAACTACTTCTAAGTAATTATTTTTCATGTGGCATAAATTGTTATTTAATCTCTTTCAATTATTTCCAAAAGATACCTCAAAATAAGAATACATACTTTAATATATCACACCCAGGAAACAGATATTTGTGCATGGGGTATAGATTATTTACATTACAAACAGAATATGTATAGTTTCTTTTATTAAATACCAAAGTTACGAGTTTCCTAGCCTAAATTGTATAATTCAGCACTCAGTAATCAACTTTCTCTCTGAATAAAGCAAAATAAAATACATAGCAAATAGTACACCTAACACGCACAAGTAGTTCACTTATATTCACTAAAGAAAACTGTGATATCCTCCAGTTTACATTCATGAATTCTTTCTGTCAGTAGTAGTAGTAGTAGTAGTAGTAGTAGTAGTAGTAGCAGTAGTAGCTGCTGCTGTTGTTGTAGCAACGGTATTTTCTTCAACAACGTGAAATGATTCTTTAGCATTTCATCATTTAGAGAAAAGAATACATACTACACAGTGGTTCTGAATTATACATTAAATAAGACCAATTTGGCCAGTTTTTTATAAATATGATTTTAAAATGTGCTCAAATTTTTTGTAGACCATTAATATTATTCATATTTAAAATGTTAGTTTATCTTCATGAAGTAAAATGATTAAGTAGCATTGTCTAAAGTTTACTGTAATACAATATACTATATCATGTGTGCTATATGCACAAGTCCACTACAGCAAGATGTCAACTGTATTATCATAGGATTCAAGGTAGAATGATATGCTACACTGTACTTCAAAGCACATCGAAGTCAGAAAAACAACAGTGTAGTTCATTTATAAAGGGGATAGATGATGATTACAATCCAATTGGTTAACTTGAAAGTCAGTTTATATAACACCAGGATAGTGTCAACACCACATACTTCATTTTCAAAGGCTTAACTATGACCTATTTATAAGATTACACCAACAGTATAAAGCCTTTGGAAAAAAAAAAAGTTTCACTTGTACTAAATTTCCATGATGTAAAATTTACAGAAGCCTTATAAAAACCTTTATTTCTAAATGAGGCCACTTATTATGGATAATATACAGATCTGCCTGCACACATTATCTGAGATATAATTCTTCTATAAAAACTTTGGCACCAACTATATCAAGAATTCATATATTAGCACAAATGTATTTTGCTCTGGCACCAAACCACTATGTTTACATTTTAGTAACTACAGTGAGTCAAATGAATGGAGTCCTTTGGTTTTACGGAATAACAAGCTTTTATAATAAGTTTTTGTTGTTTTTCTTTCATTAGAAAAAGCCTATCCTTCAGGATCTGATGTTTAAAAATACTAACATTGCTTGTCATTATACTATTATATATGTATACTGATTGTTGGTAATGACTCCCCAAACCATAATTGTATGAAACAAGAAAAAAAATATTAAAGTAACTTTATTTGAAAGGAATTTTAGAAGCTTGTGTGCAGAGAAGTTGTGAGGACCTGGTGGACACCAATTATATGCTTAAATAAACACTTGAACACTACTGCAAACACATAGTATGAATATTGTGGACCTGTGAATGGTTTTTTAAATCTCACTTCCCCTAAAAATGGGGATTTAATATTACTTAATATTCAAGTAATTTAGCAGACAACGATGCCTTTGATAAGAATAGGAAAAAAGCCACACATTTAATTTCATCTTCATCCAGTTTGGCCTAGGAACACCACAAATCTTACAGGCCAGTTGATGTTCGCTTTTTCATGCTCCGTCGCTGGGCTAAGCTTGAAGCAGCTACAGGCTCTAGGACTGGTTGAAAGGTCTTGTGAGTCAGGGCAGAGTATGTTGCAACCATTGCTCCCTAAAGTAATGAGAAAATGCCACAAACTAAGTACAAATTCTGGAGTTAAAAAAAAAAAAAACTTTCACATGATATCATGAGACATATATCTAGAACAAAATGTTTTCCTAGGAAAATAATTGAATATATTAGATCTGTGCACTGATGAATCAATATTACTTGTATGTTTTTCATTTCAATAACTATGCTTTTTACAAAAAATTGTTAAAACACTAACATTTAAAACCTTGATTCAATGTATATGGATATAGGAATGGTTTCACGAACAGTTATAAATTAAGAACTAACAGCAATCTTTTATTTCAATATGAAACTTGCATTTAGCCCAATCCTAATTCCAGCATCTCTCAAAAGCACGGCAGGTACAATCAAGAAATTTTTATTGTTTCATCTGAAAGGCAGTAGTAAAGTAAGCTAAGAAAAGTACATGGTTGTTAATTTAAAAAAATCTATCTTTAAAAAATAAAGATATTTTAAGGAATTATTTAAGTGTCATCAGCAAGTGGCACACAATGGGTTTATTAGGTATCTGATATCTCGAAGGCACATAAAAGTATGTTTGTTTTACCTTAACAACATGTGACACATCATTTCTCTTTGGCTGATCATTTGGCAACTGGTCTCTGTGAGTTATCCATGAGTGCTTTAATATTTGTTCAGCAGTATACCGCTGATGTGGGTCCATATGAAGCATATGGGAAAGCAAATCCTAAATTAAAAAAAATGTGTGTGTATATATATATACATGTATACATACATAATTTTACATTTGCTGAAAATGTGACAGCATCAATAGCCTTGCAATCTGTTTATTTCACCTACATTTATGCAAAGTAAAATCTATACTCTACACAGTTAACTCTCAAGAGAATCTTGAGAGATATTTTTCAATATATACTAAATCCTTATACACCACTTTTAAATCGGAAGATGCCAAATCTGTGGAATTGGATGTGTGATTAGTGACGGAGGAGGAAAATGTAAAATGGCAGAAGTTATCCTGGAATATGCTAAATGTTCAGCAGGAGACAGGAGCTATTGAACTTTGCTGTTAAGCTGGGCCCCAAGGTGTAAGGGTATGTGTACACAGATAAAACATAGAAGGGAGGGTCCCATGTAGTTAATCCATTCAATAAATGGTGGCTTACTATATAACATATTAAGAAAGCAAACCATAAATCCAATGTTAGCAAGTGGCTTCTATCATAGTAGTCCCCAGTGCATTTTAAGTTTTTCATCAAAGTAAGTGTACGTTTGCTTATGTTATCTCTGTTGCAATTAAAAAAGTTGTAAATTTAATATAACCTCACAGGAAAAGTTTTCAATATATTAAGAGATGTAATACTTTTAAATAAACTGTCTCTCCCAAGTATCTTTTAGAGAAATGAGAAGTAAACTCCTTAATAAGCATTTTCGGAGAATCTGGCAAGATGGCCGAATAACAGCTCCGGTCAGCAGCTCCCAGTGAGACCAAAGCAGAAGGTGGGTGATTTCTCCATTTACAACTGAGGTACCCAGTTCGTCTCACTGGGACTGGTTAGCCAGTGGGTCCAACTCACGGAGGGTGAGCAGAAGTAGGGTGGGGCATCGCCCAACATGAGAAGTGCAAGGAGCCAGGGGACCTCTCTCCCTCAGCCAAGCAAAGCTGTGAGGGACTGTGCTACCCAGCCCAGATACTACACTTTTCCCATGGTTTTTGCAATCCACAAATCAGGAGATTCCCTGGTGTGCCTACACCACCAGGGTCCTGGGTTTCAAGGATAAAACTGGGAGACAATTTGGGCAGACAGTGAGCTAGCTGCAGTTTTTTTTTTTTTTTTCGTAACCCAGTGGTGCCTGGAATCCCAGCGAGACAGAACCATTCACTCCTCTGGAAGTGAGGCCGAAGCCAGGGAGCCAAGTGGTCTTGCTCAGTGGGTCCCACTCCCACGGAGTCCAGCAAGCTAAGAACCACTGGCTTGAAATTCTCACTGCCAACACAGCAGTCTGAAGTCAAACTGCGACAACTGAACTTGGTGGCGGCGGGGGCGGGGGGGTGTCCACCATTACTGAGGCTTGAGTAGGCGGTCTTCCCCTGACAATGCTAAGGGGGCCGGGAGGTTTGGACTGGGCAGAATTTACCATGGCGCAGCAAAGCGGCTGTGACCAGACTGCCTCTCTAGATTCCTTCTCTCTGGGCAGGGCGTGTCTGAAAGGCAGCAGCCCCAGTCAGGGGCTTATAGATAAAACCCCATTTCCCTGGGACAGAGCACCTCGGGGAAGGGGCAACTGTGGGCGCAGCTTCAGCAGACTTAAACTTTCCTGCCCGCCAGCTCTGAAGAGAGCAGCTGATCCTGACAACGATTCTCCCAGCACAGTGCTCTAGCTCTGCTAAGGGACAGACTGCCTCCTAAAGTGGGTCCCTGACCCCTGTGCCTCTTGACTGGGAGAGACCTCCCAACAGGGGTCAACAGACACACCATACAGGAGAGCACCAGCTGGCATCAGGCTGGTGCCGCTCTGGGACGGAGCTTCCACAGGAAGGAGTAGGAAGCAATCTTTGCTGTTCTGCAGCCTCCACTGGTGATACCAAGGTGAACAGGGGCTGGAGTGGACCTCCAGAAAGCTGCAGCAGACTTGCAGAATAGGGGCCAGACTGTTAGAAGAAAAACTAACACACAGAAAGCAACAACTTCAACATCAACAAAAATAACTCCCACACAAAAACTCCATATAAAAGTCATTAGCCTCTAACATCGAAGGCAGATAAATCCACAAAAATGAGGAAAAACCAGCACAAAAACGCTGAAAATTCCAAAAAATAGAATGCCTATTTTCCCCCAAATGATCGCAACTCCTCTCCAGCAAGGGCATAAAACTGGACAGAGAATGATATTGACGAATTGACAGAAGTAGGCTTCAGAAGGTGGGTAATAACAAACTCCTCTGAGCTAAAGGAGCATGTTCTAACCCAATCCAAGGAAGGCAAGAAACTTGATAAAAGGTTAAAGGAACTGCTAACTAGAATAACCAGTTTAGAGAGGAACATAAATGACCTGATGGAGCTGAAAAACAGCAAGAGAACTTCGTGAAGCATACCCAAGTATGGATAGTTGAATTGATCAAGTAGAAGAAATGATATCAGAGATTGAAGATCAAATTAATGAAACAAAACATGAAGATTAGAGAAAAAATAATTAAAAGGAACGAACAAAGCCTCCAATAAAATGTGGGTCTATGTGAATCAAATCTACGATTGACTGATGTACCTGAAAGTGATGGGGAGAATGGAACCAAGTTGGAAAACACAATTCAAGATATCATCCAGGAGAACTTCCCCAACCTAGCAAGACATGCCAACATTCAAATTCAGGAAATACAGAGAACACCACTAAGATACTCCTTGAGAAGAGCAATCCCAGGACACATAATCATCAGATACTCCAAGTTTGAAACAAAGGAAAAAATGTTAAGGGCAGCCAGAGAGAAAGGTCGGGTTAACCTACAAAGGGAAGCTCATCAGACTAACAGTAGATCTCTCTGCAGAAACCCTACAAGCCTGAAGACAGTGAGGGTCAATATTCAACATTCTTAAAGAAAAGAATTTTCAACCCAGAATTTCATATACAGCCAAACTAAACTTCATAAGCAAAGGAGAAATAAAATCCTTTCCAGACAAGCAAATGCTGTGAGATTTTTGTCACCACCAGGTCTGCTTATAAGAGCTCCTGTAGGAAGCATTAAATATGGAAAGGAAAAACTGGTACCAGCCACTGCAAAAACATCAAAATATAAAGACCAATGACAATATGAGGAAACTACAACAACTAATGTATAAAATAACCAGCTAGCATCATGATGACACGATCAAATTCACACGTAACAATATTAATTTTCAATGTAAATGGGCTAAATGCTTTCCATAAACAGAACCAATGACAAAAACCACGATTATCTCAATAGACGCAGAAAAGGCCTTCAATAAAATTCAACACTACTTCATGCTAAAAACCGCCATAAACTAGGTATTGATGAAACATATCTCAAAATAGAGCTATTTATGACAAACCCATAGCCAATATCATACTGAATGGGCAAAAGCTGGAAGCATTCCCATTGAATACCAGCACAAGACAAGGATGCCCTCTCTCACCATTCCTATTCATCATAGTATTGGAAGTTCCAGCCAGGGCAATCAGGCAAGAAAAAGAAATAAAGGTATTCAAATAGGAAGAGAGGAAGTCAAATTGTCTCTGTTCACAGATGACATAATTGTATATTCAGAAAACCCTATCGTCTCAGCCTAAAAACTATTTATGCTGATAAGCAACTTCAGCAAAGTCTCAGGATACAAAACCAATGTGCAAAAATCACAAATATTCCTACACACCAATAATACACAAGCAGAGAGCCAAATCATAGTTAAATTCCCATTCACAATTGCTATAAAGAGAATAAAGGAATACAACTTAACAAGGGACATGAAGGACCTCTTCAAGGAGAGCCACAAACCACTGCTCAAAGAAATGAGAGGACACAAACAAATGGAAAAACATTCCATGCTCATGGATAGGAAGAGTCAATATCGTGAAAATGGCCATAGTGCCCAAAGTAATTTATAGATTCAATGTTATCCCCATCAAGCTACCACTGACTTTCTTTGCAGAATTAGAAAATGCTAATTTAAGTTTCATATGGAACCAAAAAAGAGCCCATATAGCCAAAACAATCATAAGCATAAAGAATAAATCTGGAGGCATCATGCTACCTGACTTCAAACTATACTACAAGGCTACAGTAACCGAAACAGCATGGTGCTGGTACCAAAACCAATATATAGACCGATGGAACAGAACAGAGGCCTCAGCAATAACACCAAACATCTACAACCATTTGATCTTCGACAAACCTGACACAAACAAGCAATGGGGAAAGGATCCCCTATTTAATAAATGGTGCTGGGAAAACTGGCTAGCTATATGTAGAAAGCTGAAACTGGACCCTTTCCTCACACCTTATATAAAAATTAACTCAAGGTGGATTAAAGACTTAAATATAAAACCTAAAACCATAAAAGCCCTACAAGAAAACCTGGATTATACCATTAAGGACACAGGAATGGGCAAAGACTTTATGACTAAAACACCAAAAGCACTTGCAACAGAAGCCAAATTGGACAAATGGGATCTAATTAAACTAAAGAGCTTCTGCACAGCAAAAGAAACTATCATTGGAGTGAACAGGCAACCTACAGAAGGGGAGAAAATTTTTGCAATCTATCCATCTGACAAAGGTCTAATATCCACAATCTACAAGAAACTTAAACAAATTTAGAAGAAAGAAACAACTCCATCAAAAAGTGGGCAAAGGATATGAACAGACACTTCTCAAAAGAAAACATTTATACGGCCAAAAACATATGAAAAAAAGCTCATCATCACTGCTCATTAGAGAAATGCAAATTGAAAACACAATGAGATAACATCTCATGCCAGTTAGAGTGGTGATCATTAAAAAGTCAGGAAACAACAGATGCTGGCGAGGATGTGGAGAAATAGGAATGCTTTTACACTGTTGGTGGGAGTGTAAATTAGTTCAACCATTGTGGAAGACAGTGTGGCAATTCCTCAAGGATCTAGAACCAGAAATACCATTTGACCCAGCAATCCCATTACTGGGTATATACCCAAATATTATAAATCATTCTTGTATAAAGACACATGCACATTTATGTTTATTGCAGCGCTATTTACAATAGCACAGACTTGGAACCAACCCAAATGCCCATCGATGACAGACTGGATGAAGAATAAATGGCACATATACAACATGGAATATTATGCAGCCATCATGTCCTTTGCAGGCACATGGATGAAGATGGAAACCATCATTGTCAGCAAACTAACGCAGGAACAGAAAACAAAACACCAGGTATTCTCACTCATAAGTGGGAGTTAAACAATGAGAACACATGGATACAGGGAGGGGAACATTAAAAACTGCGGCCTGTCGGGGGTTAGGGAGAAGGGGAGGGAGAGCATTAGGACAGATACCTAATGCTTGCGGGGCTTAAAAACTGAATGACGGGTTGCTAGGTGCAGCAAACCACCATGGCACATGTATACCTATATAACAAACCTGCACGTTCTGCACAAGTATTCCAGAACTTAAAGTAAAATTAACCAAAAAAAAACTGTTCTAATATAGAAACAAAATCATCGTATGCAAACGTTTCATCAATCACAGAAGCAGTGAAACTAAAGACTCTAAGTAGTACTATCAGATTCTGAAGAATAACGTAATTGGTTGAAACCATGTAAGGGACTAGGGCAACCAATCAAAAGCCATACTGGGGAAACATGTGCAAAAATAAATGGACAATTAATACTAAAAAGAAGATAACAATGATTTCAATGAAACAAACCTAAATGGTTATTGGAAAAATGAAAAAATTTCAATAGTCCAAGGATTTCTTCTTCTGGTCAAGATGAAATACCAAGGACTGGATGTACCTATCTGCCCGAAACAACCAATTAAAAAAAAACATAAAATATATAATATGTCAACAGTTTTCAGGATATCAGATGTTAGGCAATAAAGGAAAGTGATTCCTAATAGTGGGAAACAATCAGGTTAGCATTGTGATTGCTTCAGCTTACCAACCTGAGAGAGTTTTCTAGCTGCTGTGCAGGTAAGGGAAACTCAGGTGAAGCCTTGTGGGTTTGAACTGAGGAGATAGAACTGAGACTCAGGGGAGACCAAGGCAGACATAGTTAGCAGGACAGGGTATGAGAGGGGTGTGAGGAGCAGAGAGAGAGAATTACAAGGCTCTATAAAAGGTCTCACTAAATTATCTAGCAGATTACTACTGATAAAGACGTGGGGAAACAACCCAAGACCTTGGAAAGAACTATCTGAAAGCACTGGATGAAAATCAGGACTCACACAGGTGGGGTGTATTGCCTGTTTCCACCCGCCAAAATGGAAAACATCATAATTGATGAAGTATATTACAGAGTATTTAGAAGCACCTTGCCTAAATAGTGAGTAGCCCTAGACTAAACACTAGTCTGGTCCTGCCTAAAAAAATTTAAAAGGAGGACCCAAAAGTATGAAACTGTTTCCAGTAACTTAACTGCTGCCCAGAATAAAGTTCAAGCATACTTATAGGAAAATGAAGAGCAAACTAAACCTAAAATTAGAAGAAAATAAATAATAAACATCAGAGAAGAAATAAACAAAATAGAGAATAAAAAAAATGATAAATGAAAAAGAGTTGGTTTTATGAAAAGATAAACACAATTGACAAACCTTTAATGGGACTAAGATAAAAGAGAGATGATTGAAATAAATAAAATCCAATGGAAAAGAAGACATTACAACTGATACCACAGATATAGAAAGAACTATGAGACTATTACAAACAACTATATGCCAACAAATTGGAACACCTAGAAGAAATTGATACGTTCCTGGATATATAAAATCTACCAAAATTGAATGGACAAAATAGAAAATCTGAACAGACCAATAGAAAGTAACAGGATTAAATCAGTTACAAAAAGTCTCCCATCAATGAAAATCCCATCATCTGATGCCTTCACTGCTGAATTCTTAAGAGCAAATACCAATCCTTTTCAAACAATTCCAAAGGATTAAAGAGGATAGAATCCTGCCAAACTCATTGTATGAAGCCAGAATAACCCAACTGTTCTAACCAGACAAGAACACAACAACAAAAACTATAGGCCAATAGCCTTAAAGAACATAGATGCAAAAATCCCCAGCAAACTGAGTTCAACAGCACATTAAAAACATCATTTAACATAATCAAGTATAATTTATCTCAGGAATAAAAGGATGGTTCAACACATGCAAATTAACACATAATACATCACATCAACAGAATCAAGGACAGACGCCATATGATAAATTTAAAATGCAGAAAAAGCATTTGATAAAATTCAACATCCATTAATGATAAAAAACATTAAACAAATTAGGTATAGAAGAAACATACCTCAACTTAATAAAGGTCACGTATGACAAACCCACAACTAATATCATACTGAATAGGGGAAGGTTGAAAGCTTTTCCTGTATGATATGGAATAAGACAAATATGTCCACTTTTACCACTTTTATTCAGCATAGTTCTGGAAGTCCTAGCCAGAACAATTGGGCAAAAGAAATAAGGGGCATGCAAATTGGAAAGAAGGAAATAATACTGTTACTATTTGCAGATGACATTATCTTATTTATAGAAAACACTAAAGATGCCACCAAAAATTGTTAGAATAAACAAAGTGCAGTAAAGTTGCAGGATACAAAAGCAACATACACAAATCACTAGCATTTCTATATGACAAGAGTGAACAGTCTGAAAAAGAAATTGAGAAAGCAATTCCATTTAGGAGCTGCAAAAAAATAGAGAGGAATAAATTTAACCAAGGATGTGAATGATCTCTACAATGAAAACTATAAAACACTGATGGAAGAAACTGAAGAGGATACAAATAAATGGAAAAATATTCCATTTTCATGAATAGCAATAATTAATATTGTTGATATGTCTATACTACCCAATCTACAGATTCAATGCAATCTCTATCAAGGTATCAATGGCATTCTTCACAGACATAGAAAAAATTATAAAATTCGTATGGAAGCACGAAAGACTCCAAATAGCCAAAGTCATTTTGAGCAAAAAGAACAAAGCTGGAGGCATAACACTGACTTCAAAGTATTCTATAAAGCTATAGTAACCAAAACAGGATGGAGTCAGCATAAAAATAAACATATAGACCAATGGAACAGAACAGACAACACAGAAATGTATTGATGCTCTTACAACCAACTGATTTTCAATAAAGGCAGCAGGAACACACATTGGGTAAAGGATGGTCTCTTCAATAGATAGTGCCAATAAAACTGGACATCTATATGCAGAAGAATAAAACTAGACCAACATCTCTTACCATATATAAAAATCAACACAAAATGGATTGAATACTTAAATGTAAGACCTGAAACTATAAAACTACTAGAAGAAAACATGGGGGAAATGCTTCATGACGTTGGTTTGGATAAGAATTTTTGGGCAAGAATTCAAAAATACAGGCAAGAAAAGCAAAAATAGACAAATGGGATTACCTCAAACTAAAAAGTTACTGCCCAAGAAAGGAAATAATCAACAGAGGAAAGAAACAATCTACAGAATAGTAGAAAATATTTGCAAAGTACATATCTGAAAAGGGATTAATATCCAGAATATATAAAACATTCAAACAACATAATAGCAAAAAAATACATAATTTGATTAAAAAGTGGTCAAAAAATCTAAATAGACTTTTTTTTTTCAAAAGAATAAATACAAATATCCAATAGGTATATGGAAAAATGCTCAATATCACTAATTATCACAGAAATACAAATCAAAACCATAATGGGATATTATCTCACCCCAATTAGAATGGCTAGTACAAAAATGACAAATGCTGCCATGGATGTAAAGAAATGGGAAATGCGCTATACTATTGGTGGGAATGTAAACTAGTACAGCCACTATGGAAAACTGCATGGCATTTCCTCAAAAAATTAAAAACAGTACTAACATATGATCCAGCAGTCCCACTACTGGCTATTTACCCAAACAAAATGAGAACAGTATATTGAAAAGATATCTGCACTCCTATATTTACTGCAGCACGATTCACAATAGACAAGATATAAAAGCAACCTATGTGTTCACCAACAGATAGTGGATTATAAAATGCGGTAAATATAAACAATGGAATACTATTGGCCAAAAGAAATGCTGTCATTTGTGGCACCATAGATAAACCTGGAAGACATTATGTTAAAGAAAATAAGCCAGACACAGAAATACAAATACCACCTGATCCACTCATTTGTGGAATTTACAAAAGCTGATCTCATAGAGGTACAGAGTAGAACAGTGGTTACTAGGGAATGAGGAGGTTAGGGTTGAGGGAGGGATGGGGAGAGATTAGCAAATGGGTACAAAATTATAGACAGATAGGAGAAGTAAGTTCTGGTGCTCTGTTGCAGAGTAGAGTAAATATAAATAACGATACTGTATTATACATTTCAAAACAGCTAAAAAAGAGGATTTTGAATGTTTTCATCACAAAGAAATGCTAAATGTTTAAGGTGATGGATAAGTTAATTATCCTGATTTGAACATCATACAATATACACATGTATTGAAACATCACACTATACCTCATAAATATGTACAATTTTTATGTGTTAATTAAAAATAAATCTTAAGAAAAACAAATTTGACATTAAGAAAATAGAATACTTATAGGAATTTAAAAGTATCTAGCACCCACCAAGGTAAAATTCACCGTATTTGGTATCTTCTCAAAAATTAGTGGGCAGGCAAAAAGCACAAAAATGAGGAGAAAGAAAAGAATCAATCAAAACTGACCCAGAACTGACACAGATGTCAGAATTAGCAGACAAGGATGTTAAATAGTTATTATAATTGTATTCCTGATGTTCAGAAATTAAGTAGAGATAGAGAAGATATAAAAAAAGACTCAAGGCCGGGCATGGTGGCTCACGCCTGTAATCGCAGCACTTTGGGAGGCCAAGGCGGGTGGATCATGAGGTCAGGAGCTCGAGACCAGCCTGGCCAACATTGTGAAACCCCGTCTCTACTAAATATACAAAAATTAGCTGGGCGTGGTGGTGCACCCCTGAATCCTAGCTACTCAGGAGGTTGAGGCAGGAGAATTACTTGAACCTGGGAGGCGGAGATTGCAGTGAGCCAAGATTGCGCCACTGCACTCCAGCCTGGGAGACAGAGCGAGACTCCGTCGCAAAACAAACAAACAAACAAACAAACAAACAACCTCAAATCAAACTTCTAGAGATAAAAACTGTGAGATAATAAATAATGAAACTAAATCAAATATACACAATAGATACTTTCCAAAAAGAAACACGAGAGTATAGAACAACAAAAGAGCAGTTTGAGTGAGCTGTGAGACAACTTCACATGGTCTAATATATATATGCAGTTGAAGTCCCAGAAGAAAATTGGGAGCAGAAAAGAATATTTAAATAAATAATGGCCCCCAAATGTCCAAATTTGATGAAAACCATAAATTCACAGATACAATAAGGTCAATAAAACCCAAGTACAAGAAAAATCAAGAAAATTTCATCAAGGCACATCAAACCCAAATCACTCAAAACCCAAGACACAGAGAAAACCTTAAAAGTAGCTAGAGAAAAAAGGACATGTTACATGTGAAACAAGGATAACAACAGATTTCCTGTCAGAAAAAAAAAATTCAAATGGGAAGACTATGGAGCAACATATTTAACATACTGAAAAAAAGTCAACCAATAATTTTATATTGTGTGAACATATCTTTCAAAAATAATGGCAAATATTACACGTCATAAAGAAGGTCATTTCATAACAGAGGGGATAAGTAATCAAGAGAAGAAAATTATAAATGTTTATTCATGTAAAAACAAAGCGTCAAAATACATGAAGCAAAAACCATTATAACTGCAAAGAGAAATACACAAATCCATGATAGCTGAAATGAGAAAATAGACATCAGTATAGATTACAGTGGTTAATAGCAGATATTAACCAGTTAGTGAGAAAATATTATAAGAAAAACCTTGTGCCAATGTGTTTGACAATGGACAAATTCTTTGAAATAAAAAAATGCCAGTGCTCACTCAAGAAGAAACAACTAACCGAAATAGCCATATACCTTTTTAAGAAATTGAATTTATAGTTAAATATTTCCAACAAAGAAAACTGTAGGTCCAGATGGCTTCACTGATGAATCCCAACAAACATTTAAGAATAAGAAATTCTAATTCTAAATAACTTTTTTCAGAAATTTGAAGAGGAGGGAATGTTTCTCAACTCATTTAAGACCACTATTACACCAATATCAAAATCAGACAAAGATACTTACAATAAAATAGTACATCCACATCCCTCATGAACACAGATGCAAAAATTGTAAGGAAAATTTTAGCAAATCAAATTTAGCTATATATAGTCTATTATGATCGAGTGGTACTTAACCTGGGAATAGAAGGTTGGCTTAGCATTTGAAAATAAACGTAATTCAAATGTATATCAATGTAACAACAATAAAGAAAATCATGTGATTATCACAGCAGACATAGGAAAAGGCTTAGACAAAATCCAACATTCATCTCCAATACAAATTTTCATCAAACCAGAAACAAAATGGAACTTTTACCTAATTAGAAGCATCCATATAAAACCCACAGCTAACATCATCCTTAATGGTGAAAAATAAATGCTTACACTCAAGATCAGGAACAAAACAAGAATGTGCATTCTTTCCACTTCTACAACACTATACTGGAAGTTCTAGCCATTGAAAATTAAGAAAAAAGAC
The DNA here is from genome assembly GCF_000001405.40 of Homo sapiens. NCBI lineage: Eukaryota > Metazoa > Chordata > Mammalia > Primates > Hominidae > Homo > Homo sapiens. The sequence goes on from NC_000023.11 coordinate 84,076,812, forward strand.
ATCCATATTAGAAATCAAGCACTAAAACGTCCTTATAAAAACTATTACCATCTATGTAGAAAAACTGATAGAATCTAGAAAAAAGCTACTAGAATTCATAAGTGAGGTTAGCAAGCTTCTAACATACAAGATCAATATAATCACATTTCTGCATACTAGCAACAAAAGAAAATAAAATTTTAATGCCATTAATATTAAAAACAAAATATTTGGGGAAAAGATATGATAAAAGATGTTTAAGACCTGTATATTTAAACGTATAAAACATTGTTGAGAGAAAGTAAAGACCTAACTGGAAAGAGATACTGTGTTTATAGATAAGAAAAGTCAATGCTGTTAAAATGTCAATTCTTCCCAAATTGATCTATAGCTCCATCACCATCTCATTCAAAATCCTAGCAGGCTTCTTTTTCTGATAGAAATTGAGAAGCTGATTATAAAATTCATATGGCAATGCAAAGCACCCAAAATAGCAAAACAACAACAAAAAAACTCAAAAAACTCTGAAAAAGAAAAAAGTCGAAACACTCATGGTACCTGATTTCAAAATTTAATTATAAAGCAACAGTAACGAAGATAGTATGGTAATAGTGTAAAGACAGACAAGTAGATCAGTGAAACAGAATAGGAAGTGTAGAAACAGAACCATGGATATTTGGACAATTGATATAAATACAAATGCAATTTGGTGAAGAAAGGATATTATTTTCAAAAAGTGGTACTGGAACAACTGCATATTCACATGTAAAAATGAACTTTGACCATATGTTGTACCATATATATATATGTTGAATCAAAAAAGAACATTGACCTAAAGATAAAACCTAAAATGATACAACTTCTAAAAGAAAACACAGGGGAAAATACAGATGCTCTGATTTATTAAGGGGTTACACCTTGAAAAATACAGACTACTGATTGTTAACCCTCATGATCACATAGCTGACTGGGAGCTGTGGCTGGCTGCAACTACCTAGCATTGCCAAAGAGTATTTTACTGCACATTGCTAGCCCAGGAAAAGATAACAATTCAAAGGTTCAAAGTAGAGTTTCTATTGAATGTATATTGATTTCACTCTATCCTAAGTCAAAAAATCATCAGTCAGTCAAACCATCATAAGTTGGGAAACCTCTGTATTTGAAATCTTGCATAAGGCAAAAGTTTATTAGCTCTAATATCAAAAACATGATATACGAAAGAAAAAGAATAATCTTTATCAAATTAGAAATGACTTCTTTGAAAGACACTTAAGAGAATTAAGAGACAATCCATAAAAAGAAAATAATTGCAAAGCATAGATCTGACAGAGAACTTGCATTTAACACTCAAAAACCCAGTGAAAAAGGGAAAGGTAAAAGATAAATGGATGGCAAATAAACACATGAAAAATGCTGAACATCATTAGTCACTAGGGAAATGCGAATTAAAACTACTTTCAAATAGTATCACACACCTTTTAAAATAGCTAATTTTTTTAAAAAGGATCATATCCAGTGTTGCCAAAGATGTGGAAGAACTAAAATTTTCATATGCTAATGGTGAAAATGTAAAATAGCTCAGATAATTTGTAAAACAATTGAGTGGTTTCTTAAAACATTAAACACATGACTCAATCATTCTGCTCATAGGTATTTATACAAAAAAAAAAGATATACACACATAAAACCACTGGCACATAGATATTCATAGCAGCTTTATTGGTTAACAACACAAAACAACACAAATGTCCATCAACAGGTGAACAGATGAACAATGATGTATCCATAAAAAGAAATATTATCCAGCAATAAAATAGAATTAACTATTGCTGTACTTCAACAACATAGATAAATCTCAAAATTATTATTAAATAAAAGAGATCAAAAGACTGCAGACTTATGATTTAATTTATAAACATTTAAAAAAATATACAAACCCGTAGTGGCAGACAGCACAACTGTGTGTGCCAGAGAATGAGGTGGGTGGAAGATTATAAATTGAAGATATAGGGCAGGAGGGAGGGAATTACAAAACAGCATGAGGAAATGTTTAGTGGTAATGGATATGTTCATTATCTTGATTTTCATGATGGTTTCATGGGTGTGTATATATGTCATAACACTATATACTATACATGCATTTCATTTGTTATCAATTCTACCCCACTATAGTTGCTTAAAAAAAAATAAAAAAACTCAACAGTCTAGCATATAAGTTCTTGAGGGCTGATAAGATGGCCGAATGGGAACAGCTCCAGTCTGCAGCTCCCAGCTAGATCAACACAAAAGGTGGGTGATTTCTGCATTTCCAACTGAGGTACCCGTAGTTGATCTCATTGGGACTGGTTAGACAGTGGGTACAGCCCACAGAGGGCGAGCTGAAGGAGGGTGGGGCATCGCCTCACTCAGGAAGCGCAAGGGGTCAGGGAACTCCCTCCCCTATCCAAGAGAAGCCGTGAGGGACTGAGCCATAAGAAACGATGCATTCCAGACCAGATACTATAATTTTCCCACCGTCTTTGCAACCCACAGACCAGGAGATTCCCTTGAGTGCCTAAACCACCAGGGCCCTAGGTTTCAAGCACAAAACTGGGCAGCCGTTTTTGGGCAGACACTGAGCTAGCTGCAGTTTTTTTTTTTTTCTTTTTCATACCTCAGTGATGCCTGGAACGCCAGCAAGACAGAACTATTCACTCCCCTGGAAAGGGGGCTGAAGCCAGGAAGCCAAGAGGTCTAGCTCAGCAGATCCCACCCCCACAGAGCCCAGCAAGCTAAGATCCACTGGCTTGAAATTCTCGCTGCCAGCACAGCAGTCTGAAGTCAAACTTGGACACTTGAGCTTGGTGGGGGGAGGGGCGTCCACCATCATTGAGGCTTGAGTAGGCAGTTTTCCCCTGACAGCGTAAACAAAGCCACCCGGAAAGTGAAACTGGGCAGAGCCCACTGCAGCTTGGCAAAGCTGCTGCAGCCAGACTGCCTCTCTAGATTCCTCCTCTCTAAGCAGAGCATCTCTGAAAGAAAGGCAGCAGCCACAGTCAGGGGCTTATAGATAAAACTCCATCTCCCTGGGACAGAGCACCTGGAGGAAGGGGCAGCTGTGGATGCAGCTTCAGCAGACTTAAACGTTCCTACCTGCCTACTCTGAAGAGAGCAGTGGATCTCCCAGCGCAGCGCTCGAGCTCTACTAAGGGACAGACTGCCTCCTCAAGTAGGTCCCTGGCCCCCGTGCCTCCAGACTGGGAGACACCTCTCAGCAGGGGTCAACAAACACCTCATACAGGAGAGCTCTGGCTGGCATCTGGCAGGTGCCCCTAACACCTCATACAGGAGAGCTCTGGCTGGCATCTGGCAGGTGCCCCTCTGGGATGAAGCTTCCAGAGAAAGGAACAGGCAGCAATCTTTGCTGTTCTGCAGCCTCTGCTGGTGATACCCAGGCAAACAAGGTCTGGAGTGGACCTCCAGCAAACTCAGGCAGACCTGCAGCAGAGGGGCCTGAGTGTTAGAAGGAAAACTAACAAACAGAAAGGAATAGCATCAACATCAACAAAAAGGATGTCCAGACAAAAACCCCATCCGAAGGTCACCGACATCAAAGATGTAAAGGGAATGGTAAAGGGATCAATGCAACAAAAAGAGCTAACCATCCTAGATATATATGCACTCAATACAGGAGCACCCAGATTCATAAAGCAAGTTCTTAGAAACCTACAAAGAGACTTAGACTCCCACACAATAATAGTGGGAGACTTTAACACCCCACTGTCAATATTAGATCAACACGACAGAAAATTAACAAGGATATTCAGGACTTGAACTCAGCTCTGGACCAAGCGGACCTAATAGATATCTACAGAACTCTCCACCCCAAATTAACAGAATATACATTCTTCTCACCACCACATCACACTTATTCTAAAATTGACCACATAATTGAAAGTAAAACACTCCTTAGCAAATGCAAAAGAATGGAAATCATAACAAACAGTCTCTAGGAAAACAGTGCAATCAAACTGGAACTCAGGATTAAGGAACTCACTCAAAACCACACAACTACATGGAAAGGGAAAAACGTGCTCCCGAATGGCTACTGGGTAAATAATGAAATTAAGGCAGAAATAAAGAAGTTCTTTGAAATGAATGAGAACAAATACACAATGTACCAGAATCTCTGGGATACAGCTAAAGCAGTGTTTACAGGGAAATTTATAGCACTAAATGCCCACAGGAGAAAGCAGGAAATATCTAAAATCGACAATCTAACATCACAATTAAAAGAACTAGAGAAACAAGAGCAAACAGATTCAAAAGCTAGCAGAAGACAAGAAATAACTAAGAGCAGAACTGAAGGAGACAGAGACACGAAAACCCTTCAAAAAATCAATGAATCCAGGAGCTGGTTTTTTGAAAAGAATAACAAAATAGACTGCTAGCCACACTATTAAAGAGGAAAAGAGAGAAGAATCAAATAGACACAATAAAAAATGACAAAGGGGATATAATCATTGATCTCACAGAAATACAAACAACCATCAGAGAATACTATAAACAACTCTACACAAATAAACTAGAAAATCTAGAAGAAATAGAGAAATTCCTGGAAACATACACCCTCCCAAGATGAAACCATGAAGAAGTCGAATGCCTGAATATACCAATAACAAATTCTAAACTCGAGGCAGTAATTATAGCCTACCAACCAAAAAAAGTCCAGGACAAGACAAATTCACAGCCAACTTCTACCAGAGATGCAAAGAGGAGCTGCTGCCATTCCTTCTGAAACTGTTCCAAATAATAGAAAAATAGGGACTCCTCCCTAATCTTTTTATGAGGCCAGTATCATCCTGAGAGCAAACCTTCCAGAGAAACAACAACATATCCCAGATGAACACAGATGCAAAAATCCTCAATAAATACTGGCAAACCAAATCCAGCAGCACATCAAAAAGCTTATCCACCACGAAAAAGACAGCTTCATCCCTGGGATGTAAGGTTGGTTCAACATATGCCAATCAATAAATGTAATCCATCACATAAACAGAACCAATGACAAAAACCACATGATTATCTTAACAGATCCAGAAAAGGCCTTCAACAAAATTCAACACCCGTTCATGCTAAAAACTCTCAATAAACTAGGTATTGATGGAACATATTTCAAAATAGTAAGAGCTATTTATGAGGAACCCATAGCCAATATCATACTGAATGGGCAAAAGCTGGAAGCATTCCCTTTGAAAACCGGCACAAGACAATAATGCCCTCTCTCACCACTCCTATTCAACACAGTATTGGAATTTATGGCCAGGGCAATCAGGCAAGAGAAAGAAATAAAGGGTATTCAAATAGGAGGAGAGGAAGTCAAATTGTTTCTGTTTGCAGATGACATTATTGTATATTTAGAAAACCCCATCATCTCAGCCAAAAATCTCCTTAAGCTGATAAGCAACTTCAGCAACGCCTCAGGATACAAAATCAGTGTGCAAAAATCACAAGCATTCCTATACACCAATAACAGACAAAAAGAGAGACAAATAATGGGGGAACTCCTATTCACATTTGCTACAAAGGGAATAAAATACATAGGAATAGAACTTACAAGCGATGTGAAGGACCTCTTCAAGGAGAACTATAAACCACTGCTCAAGGAAATAAGAGAGGACACAATCAAATGGAAAAACATTCCATGCTCATGGATAGGAAGAATCAATACCGTGAAAATGGCCATAGTGCCCAAAGTAATTTATAGATTCAATGCTATTCCCATCAAGCTACCATTGACTTTCTTCACAGAATTAGAAAAAATTACTTTAAATTGCATATGGAAGCAAAAAAGAGCCTGTATAGCCAAGACAATCCTAAGCAAAAAGAACAAAGCTGGAGGCATCACGCTACCTGACTTCAAACTATACTACAAGGCTACAGTAACCAAAACAGCATGGTACTGGTACCAAAACAGATATATAGGCCAACGAAACAGAACAGGGGCCTCAGACATAATGCCACACATCTACGACCATCTGGTTTTTGACAATCCTGACAAGAACAAGCAAAGAGGAAAGGATTCCCTATTTAATAAATGGCATTAAAAAATCTGGCTAGCCATATGCAGAAAACTGAAACTGGATCCCTTCCTCACACCTTACACAAAAATTAACTCAAGATGGATTAAAGACTTAAACGTAAAACCTAAAACCATAAAAACCCTAGAAGAAAACCTAGGCAATATCATTCAGGACATAGGCATGGGCAACTACTTCATGACAAAAACACAAAAAGCAATGGCAACAAAAGCCAAAACTGACAAATGGGATCTAATTAAACTAAAGAGCTTTTGCATAGCAAAATAAACTATCATCAGAGTGAACAGGCAACCTACAGAATGGGAGAAAATTTTTGGAATCTATCCTTCTGACAAAGGGTTAATATCCAGAATCTACAAGGAACTTAAACAATTTTACAAGAAAAAAACATGCATGATGCGCAGGTTTGTTACATAGGTAAACGTCTGCCATGGTGGTTTGCTACACAGATTAACACGTCACTTAGGTATTAAGCCCAGCATGCATTAGCTATTTATCCTGAGGCTCTGCCTCCCCTGATCCCCATAACAGGGCCCAGTGTGTGTTGTTCTCCGACATGTGTCCATGGGTTCTCATTGTTCAGCTCCCTTATACGTGAGAATACTCAGTGTCTGGCTTTCTGTTCCTGAGTTAGTTTGCTAAAAATAATGGCTTCCAGCTATATCCATGTCCCTGCAAAGAACATCCTTTTCATGGCTGCATAGTATTCCATGGTATATATGTACCACATTTTCTTTATCCAGTCTATCATTGATGGGCATGTGGGTTGATTCCATGACTTTGCTATTATAAATAGTGCTGCAGTGAACATATGTACGCATGTATCTTTATAAGAGAATTATTTACATTCCCTTGGGTATATACCCAGTAATGGGATTGCTGGGTCAAATGGTATTTCTCATTCTAGTTCACTGAGGAAACACCACGCTGTCTTCCATAATGGTTGAACAAATTTACATTCCAACCAACAATGTAAAAGTGTTCCTATTTATGCACAGCCTTGCCAGCATTTGTTGTTTCTTGACTTTTTAATAATTGCCATTCTAACTGGTGTGAAATGGTATCTCATTGTGGTTTTGATTTGCATTTCTCTAGTGATCAGTGATGTTGAGCTTTTTTACCTATATTTCTGGCTACATAAATGTCTTCTTTTGAGAAGTGTCTGTTCTTCTCCTTTGACAACTTTTGAATGTTTTCTTGTAAATTTGTTTAAGTTCCTTGCAGATTGTAAATACTAGACCTTTGTCAGATGGATAGATTGAAAAATTTTTCTCCCACTCTGTAGTCTCTCTGTTCACTCTGATGATAGTTTCTTTTGCTGTGAAGAAGCTCTTTAGTTTAATTAGATCCCATTTGTCAATTGTTTGCTTTTGTTGCAACTGCTTTTGTCATTTTTGTCATTGAAATCTTTGCCTGTTTCTATGTCCTGAATGGTATTGCCTAGATTTTCTTCTAGGGTGTTTATAGTTTTGGGTTTAACATTTAAGTCTTTAATCCATCTAGAGTTAATTTTTGTATAAGGTGTATGGAAGGGGTCCAGTTTCAATTTTCTGCATATGGCTAGCCAGTTCCCCAGCACCCTTTATTAAATAAGGAATCCTTTCCCCATTGCTTGTTTTTCTCAGGTTTGTCAAAGATCAGATGGTTGTAGATGTGTAGTCTTATTTCTGAGTTTCTATTCTGTTCCATTGGTCTATGTGTCTGTTTTCGTACAAGTATCAAGCTGTTTTGGTTACTGTAGCCTTGTAGTATAGTTTGAAGTCAAGTAGTGTGATGCCTCCAGCTTTGTACTTTTTGCTTAGGATTGTCTTAGATATTTGGGCTATTTTTTGGTTCTATATAAATTTTAAAATAGTTTCTTCTAATTCTGTGAAGAATGTCAATGGTAGTTTAGTGGGAATACCCTTTAATCTATAAATTGCTTTGGTCAGTATGGCCACTTTCATGATATCGATTCTTCCTAACAATGAGCATGGGACGTTTTTCCATTTGTTTGTGTCCTAATTTCCATGAGCAGTGGTTTGTAGTTCTCCTTGAAGAGGTCCTTCACTTCCCTTGTTAGCTGTATTCGTAGGTGTTTTATTCTTTTTGTAGCAATTGTGAATGGGAGTTCATTTATGATTTGCCTCTCCGCTTGCCTGTTGTTGGGGCATAGAAATGCTAGCAATCTTTGCAAATTGATTTTGTATCCTGAGATTTGCTGAAGTTGCATCAGCTTAAGAAGCTTTTGGGCTGAGACAATGGGGTTTTCTAGATATAAGATCAAGTCATCTGCAAAGAAAGAAAATTTGACTTCTCTATTTGAATACCCTTTATTTTGTTCTCTTGCCTGATTGCCCTGGCCAGAAATTCCAATTATATGCTGAATAGGAGTGGTGAGAGAGGGCATCTTTGTCTTGTGCCTGTTTTCAAGGGGAATTCTTCCAGCTTTTGCCCATTCAGTATGATATTGGCTGTAGGTTTCTCATATTATTTTCTTAACATTTTGAGGCATGCTCCTTTAGTACCCAGTTTATTGAGCATTTTTAACATGAAGTGATGTTGAATTTTCTGCATTATTGAGATAATTGTGGTTTTTGTCTTTAGTTCTGTCTATGTGATGAATCACATTTATTGATTTTCATATGTTGAACCAACCTTACATCCTGGGGATGAAACCAACTTGATTGTGGTGGATAAGCTTTTTGATGTGCTGCTGAATTCAGTTTGCCAGTTTTTACTGAGGATTTTTGTGTTGATGTTCAACAGGGATACTGAACTGGAGTTATTTGTTGTTGTTACATCTCTGTCAGGTTTTGATATCAGGATGAATCTAGCATCATAAAATGAGTTAGGGAGGAGTCCCTCCTTTTCGATTTTTTGGAATATTTTCAGAAGGAATGGTACCAGCTCTTCTTTGTACCTCTGGTAGAATTCAGCTGTGAATCCATCTGGTCCTGGGCTTTTTTGGTTGGTAGGCTATTACTGCCTCAATTTCATAACTCACAATTGGTCTATTCAGGGATTCAATTTCTTCCTGGTTGTCACAGGAGGGTGCATGTTCCAGGAATTTATCCATTATTCTAGATATTCTAGTTTATGTGCATAGAGGTGTTTATTCTCTGGTGGTTGTTTTTATTTTTGTGGGATCAGTGGTGATATCCCCCTTATAATTTCTGATTGTGTCTATTGTCTATTTGATTCTTCTCTCTTCTGTCTAGCTAGTTGTCTATTTTATTAATTTTGTTTTTTAAAAATCAGCCCCTGGTTTTGTTGACTTTTTGAGGGTTTTTTGTGTCTCTATATCCTTCAGTTCAGCTCTGATTTTGGTTATTTCCTGTATTCTCATAGCTTTGTGTTTGTTTGCCCTTGGTTCTCTAGTTCTTTCTGTTGTGATGTTAGGTTGTTAATTAGAGATCTTTCTAACTTTTTGATGTGGACATTTTGTGCTATAAATTTCCCTCAACACTGTTTTAGCTGAGTCTCAGAGATTCTGGTACATTGTCTCTTTGTTTTCATTAGTTTCAAAGAACTTCTTGATTTCTGCCTTAATTTCATTATTTATCCAGGAGTCATTCAGGAGTAGTTTCTTCAATTTCCGTGTAGTTGTGTGGTTTTGAGTAAATATCTTAATCTTGAGTTCTAATTTGATTGTGCTGTGGTCAGAGGACTGTTTGTTATGATTTCAGTTTTTCTTTTTTTTTGCATTTGCTGAGGAGTGTTTTATTTCCAATTGCGTGATCAATTTTAAAGTAAATGCCGCCTAGCAATGAGAAGAATGCATATTCTGTTGATTTTTGGTGGAGAGTTCCAAAGATACCTATCAGGTCCTCTTGATACAAAAATCTTCAAGTCCTGAAGGTTTTTGTTAATTGTCTGTCTTGATAATCTGTATAATATTGTCACAGGAGTTCTAAAGTCGCCCACTATTATTGTGTGGGAGTCTAAGTCTCTTTATAAGTCTCTCAATAACTTGCTTTATGAATCTGGATGCTCCTTTATTGGGTGCATATATATTTATGATAGTTAGTTCTCCTTATTGACTTGAGCCCTTTACCATCATGTAATGCCCTTCTTTGTCTTTTGATTTTTTAAAGTGTATTTTGTCAGAAACTAGGATTGCAACCCCTGCTTTTTTCTGTTTTCTATTTGCTTGGTAAATTTTCCTCCATCCTTTTATTCTGCGTCTCTGTGTGTCTTCGCAGGTGAGATGGGTCTCTTAAAGACTGCATACCATTGGGTCTTGACTGTTTATCCAGCTTGGCATTCTGTGTCTTTTAATTGAGGAATTTAGCCTATTTACATTTAAGGTTAATATTGTTATGTGTGAATTTGGTCTTGTCATTATGATGCTAGTTGGTTATTTTGCATACTTGTTTATGTGGTTGTTTCATAATGTAACTGGTCTGTGTACTTCAGTGTGTTTTTGTAGTGGCTGGTACCAGTTTTTCCTTTTCATATTTAGTGCTTCCTTCGGGAGCTCTTGCAAGGCAGGCCTGGTCGTGAAGAATTCCCTAAGCATTTACTCATCTGAAAGAGACCTTATTTCTCCTTCGCTTGTGAAGTTTATTTTGCCCAGGTATGAAATTCTGGGTTGGAAATTCTTTTCTTTAAGAATGTTAAAATATTGGCCCCCAAGCTCTTTTGGCTTGTAGGGTTTCCACAGAGAGGTCAGCTGTTAGTCTAATGAGTTTCCTTTTGTAGGTGACCTGGCCTTTTCTCTCTGGCTACCCTTAACATTTTTTCTTTCATTTCAACCTTGGAGAATCTGATGATTATGTACCTTGTGGTTGATCTTCTGGTGGAGTATCTTACTGGGGTTCTCTGGATTTCTTGAATTTGAATGTTGGTCTTTCTTGCTAGGTTGGGGAAGTTCTCCTGGATAATATCCTGAAGTGTGTTTTCCAACTTGGTTCCATTCTCCCCATCTCTTTCCGGTACCCCAATCAGTTGGAGGCTTGGTCTTTTTACATAGTCCCATATTTCTCTGAAGTTTTGTTTGTTTTCATTCTTTTTTCTCTATTCTTGTTTGCCTGTCTTATTTCAGAAAGATAGTCTTCAAGCTCTGAGATTTTTTCCTCTGCTTAATCTATTCTGCTACTGATACTTGTGATTACGTTGTGAAGTTCTTGTGTTTTTCAGCTCCATCAGGTCACTTATGCTCCTCTCTAAACTGGCTATTCTAGTTGTCAGCTCCTGTTACCAGCTATTGTGTTATCATGATTCATAGCTTCTTTGCATTGGGTTACAACATGCTCCTGTAGCTCAACAAAGCCTGTTATTACCCACCTTCTGAAGCCCACTTCTGTCAATTCAGCCATCTCAGTCATTTGAAGGGGAAGAGGTCCTCTGCCTTTTTGAGTTTTCAGCATTTTTGCATTATTTCTCATCTTTGTGAGCTTACCTACCTTTGATCTTTGAGGTTGCTGACCTTTGAGTGAGGTTTTTGTGGTGTCTTTTTCGTTGGTGCTGTTGTTTTGTGTTGTTTTCTGTTTGTTGTTCTTTTAAAAGTCAAGCCACTTTTCCATAGAGCTGCTGTGGTTTGCTGGGGGACTGCTCCACACCCTAGCTTTCATTGATTTTCCCTTACCTGGAAGTATCACTGGTGAAGGCTGTGAAATAGCAAAGATGACAATCTGCTCCTTACTCTGGGAGTTCTGTCCCAGGGGGATACTGACCTGTTGCTGACCTGTATGCTCCTGTAGGAGGTGTCTGGAGATCCCTGTTGGGAGGTCTCACCCAGTCAGGAGGGATGGGATCAGGATCCCACTTTAAGAAACAGTCTGGCTGCTTTTTGGTAGAGCAGGTGTGCTGCATTGGGGGAACCCTTCCTTGTCCTGACTGCTTGGCCTCCCCAGAGACAGCAGGCTGGAAAGACTGAGTCGAACAACCTGCAGAGATGTTGGCTACCCCTTCCCCGGGGGCCCTACCTCAGGGAGAAATCAGAGTTCTGTCCCAATAACCTTGGCTGGAGTGGCTGAAATTCCCATAGGGAGGCCCCGCCCAGTGAACAGGGATAGATCAGGGTCCCAGTTATAGAAGCAGTATGGCTATGATCTGGCACAGCAGCTGTGCTGGGTTGTGGGGGACTCTTCCTCCTCTGGACTGCCTGGACTTCCCAGAGCAGGCAGGCTAGAATGGCTGTTGACTGAACTGCAGTAACTGGTGCCACTCCTCCCACCAGGGGCTCCATCCTAGGGAAACATCAAATTTCTCTCTATATAACCCTGGCTGAAGTGCTGAAGTCCTCCAGAAAGGATCTGTCCAGTGAGGAGAGATGGATTGGGGTCCCACTCAAAGAAGCAGTCTGGCCACAATCTGGCACAGCTGCTGTGCTGCTTCATCAGGGACTCCTCCTCGTCTGGACTGCCTGGACTCCTCGGAGCTGGCAGGTTAGAATGACTGACCCAACCAAACCAGAGAGTTGGTGGTCACCCCTCCCCCTGGAACTTGGTCCATCTCAGACCATTTCCAGCCTGTTGCTGCTGGTTGGCTGGAATTCCAAGCCAGTGGGTCTTAACTTGTGAGGTGCCATGGAAGTGGGGCCCACAGAATGATGCTGCCTGGCTCCCTGGATTCAGGTCCCTTCCTAGGATAGAAGTATAGATGGGTCTTCTGCCTTGCTGGAATTCCTGGAGCCAGAGTATGCAAAACTCTTGGGTCTTGGGTCTCTGTATGTGCCTCAGCAGCTGCCCCACTGAGACTCCTCACAGCTCTGTATATTGAACCAAAGGCCCTGGTGGCATGGGCTCATGAGGGAATCTACTGATCCATGGGTTGCAAAGATCCATGGGAGAAGCACGGTTCTCTAGGTGGGGTCACACAATCGCTCACCACTTGCCTTGGCTGGGGGTTCCTTTGTCTCCGTGCCACTCTGAGGTGTGTCATCACCCCACCCTGCTATTCTTTCTCCTCCATGGGTCGAGTTGTCTGCCTAGTCAGTCCCAATACACGAAACTGTATATTTCAGTTGAAGGTGCTGAATTAACACACCATTTTCACTGCTCTCCATGAAAGCTGTGGACTGCACCTACTTATAGTTGGCCATCTTGGCCCCTCTCAATGTACTCAGGTTTCTTATTTTTAATGTCCATTTTAAATGGATAAAAGCCAGCAAAACTCTAAATACTTTGAACATACATGAATATAGGAGCATAGCAATTTTCCTATTCTCACAGTACTCAAATTTAATTCCAAATTAAAGTTTGGAAAATACTGATTAATAATTCATCACTTCTATTTTCAATGTAATCATGTATCTGAGGTAAAACTTTTTTATTACTCATTCTGTAAGCATGTTTAATTGGTCAAATGTGTAACAATTCATATATCCTCAGTATAAATGAATAACTTCCATATATACTTCAGCAACACCTGCTCTGATCACAAATAATAATAAATAATTATCTTTCAGAAAAAACAAGGGTTGATTTCTGATTATTGCATTTGCTAATGTACCTTCCTAGCTTGGCTTAGATAGTGTAGTCTTTCACTAGTATAATTTGGCATGAGGCATTTGAAAACTGTGGTACTACTATGAGTTCTAGATGAACTTCAATATATTATTTTAACTGTAAAACTGCTCTGTAGTACAGATCATGTAAAGGATAATGTATTAGTCCATTCTCACACTGCTATGAAGACAGACCCAAGACTGGGAAATGTATAAAGAGGTTTAATTGACTCACAGTTTTGCATGGCTGGGACAGTCTCAGGAAACTTACAATCACGGTAGAAGGAGGAGCGCAAGCAAGGAAGTCAGGAAGGGGAATGGACGCGGGGGAACTACCAAACACTTATAAAACTATCAGATCTCATGATAACTCATTCACTATCACGCGAACAACATGGGGGAAATTGCCCCCATGATTCAGTTACCTCCATCTGTTGTCTCCCTTGACACATGGGGATTATGGGGATTACAATTCAAGATGAGATTTTGAGTTTGGACACAGCCAAAACATATCAGGTAATAAGGTTCTGTATACCTCATGTCCATTACTACAGAAACAAAGTGGGTCAACAATAATAGCTTTCCTTCGAGCCTTCAATTGTTAAAGGGTTACAGACCTCTCATTCCTCCATTTAATCTACATGAAACAAGGTAATAAATCCTTTTTTCCTCTAGGAAGTTTTCCCTAATGTGAGTGGATTGAAAAGAGTACTAAACTGAAAATCAGTTCCAACTCTGCCACTCATTAATGTGTAAGTTAAATTCTATATGCCTTGGTTTATTTATCTGCAAAATGATGAGGTGACGGACTACTTGCCTTCTAGCTCTATAAATCTATAACCTGTAAACACATGAAAAAAGCATCTTCTATTAAAAGCGACTTCAAGCCAAAATGAAAAATAAATATTTATGTAAAATCTCACTGCTTACTGCAAATTATAGTCACTCACAATAGGACAACATGTGTATAAAATGTATCAAAAACACTTGCTGTGTAAATTAACAATGCAAGATATACCAGAAGAAATGATTAGCTTATGAAAAAGTATCCAATTGAGTACTCATTATGCTAGATGTGATAGAAAATGCAAAATAAGTATGTTATTTAAGGCTTCCTAAGTGTGAAGAACAAAAATATACCCAAGTGAATATATGACCAGGCAGAATGTAGTACATGCTCTAATAAAGTACATGCCAAATAGTAATGGGAAAACAGTAGAGGAAAAGTAGAAGAAACAACAGATGCTGGTGAGGCTGTGGAGAAACAGGAATGCTTTTACACTGTTGATGGGAACATAAATTAGTTCGACCATTGTAGAAGACAGTGTGGTGATTCCTAAAGGATCTAGAACCATAAATACCATTTGACCCAGCAATCCCATTACAGGGTATATACCCAAAGGAATATAAATCATTCTATTATGAAGATACATGCACGTGTATGTTCACTGCAGCAGTATTCACAATAGCAAAGACATGGAATCAACCCATATGCCCATCAATGATAGACTAAAGAAAATGAGGTAAATATACACCATGGAATACTATGCAGCCATAAAAAAGATCATGTCTGTTGCAGGGACATGGATGGAGCTGGAAGCTATTATCCTCAGCAAACTAACGCAGGGACAGAAAACCAAACACTCCATGTTCTCACTCATAAGTGGGAGCTGAACAATGAGAACACATGGACACAGGGAAGGAAACCACACACAATCAGGACCTGGTCCTGTTGGGGGAGGGGCAGGAGGAGAGTGAGCATCAGGATAAATAGCTAATGCATGCAGGGCTTATTACCTAGGTGATGGGTTGATAGGTGCAGCAAACCACCATGGCACACGTTTACCTATGTAACAAATCTGCACATCCTGCACATGTTTCCCAGAACTTAAAATTATAAAAAAATTATACTTTTCAAAAAAAAAATATTCAGGGAACCATGACCTCACCAAATAGACAAAATAAAGCACCAGGTGCTACATGAACAGGTGCTCAAAATAACTAACCATCTGGAAAATGGAAATCAAAACTGCAGTGAGGGCTGGGCACCATGGCTCAAGCGTGTAATCCTAGCACTTTGGGAGGCTGAGGTGGGCAGATCACGAGGTCAAGAGATCGAGACCATCCTGGCCAACATGATGAAAGATCATCTCTACTGAATATACAAAAATTAGCTGGGTGTGGTGGCACCTGCCTGTAATGCCAGCTACTCGGGAGGCTGAGGTGGGAGAATCGCTTGAACCTGGGAGGCAGAGGTTGCAGTGAGCCGAGGTCACGCCACTGCACTGCAGCCTGGCGACAGAGTGAGACTCCGTATCAAAAAAAAAAAATGCAATGAGACATCACCTCACTCCAATCAGAGTGGCTACTATCAAAAAAATAAAAAAATAAGTGTTGACAAAGATGTGGAGAAATGGGAACCCTTACACACTGCTGGTGAGAATGCAAATTAGCACAGCCATTATGGAAAACAGTATAGTGGTTCCTCAAAAAATTCTACCATATTATCCAGCAATCCCACTGCTGGATATATATCCAAAGGAAATGGAATCAGTATGTAGGAGAGCTATCTGTATGCTCAGGTTCACTGAAGCATTATTCACAATAGCCAAGATATGGAATCAACCTAAGTGTCTATCAACATATGAATTGATAAAGAAAATATAGTGTGTATATACACAATGAAACACCATTCAGCCATAAAGAAGAATGAAATCCTATCATTTGTGGCAACGTGGATTAACCTGGAGGACATTGTGTTAAGTGAAACAGCCAGGCACAGAAAGACAAATATCACATGATGTCACTTATATGTGGAATCTAAAACATTGTTCTCATAGAAATAGACAGTAGAATAGTGGTTACCAGAGGATGGGGAGTGGTGGGTGAGGAGATGGTGAGAGATTGTTCACTGGGTACAAGTTAATCTTTTTAAAAGAGACAAATGAAGAGGCAATAAATAATCTATGTCTGATGGGCAGCAAATGTCACAGTTCTCACAACTAAAGTGTACTAGTTTAAGAGGTTATGGGAAACTGAACAAGTTTACTTTCATGCCTAGTTTAAAACAAATGTAAGCAGTAGAACTGTTAAAAGGTACATGAGATAGTTTCTTAAAAGGTTCTCATAGCTCCTACAAAAGTTTCAAAGACAGAACTAAAGTCACCCGATCCATAAAAAGGGATTATCTAAGAGACCTTATGAGATATGTCAACACTATCCCTAATATCTTATGCTATGAGAAGTTTTCCAGATTACCAGGCTAAAAGAGACGTAAGAATAAAACCAAGCTTTAATATGTATTATTACTTAAACACCAGATAGGCCTAAACATAAAATACATGGAACACAGAAAACTGAAAATTTGAGCACAATTGGCAATGTTAAGTCCCCATCTATTTCAGCAGATTTTTTTTTGCATTTTTAAAATAGATCAGTTTTATTCTGCTAATTCCATAAAAAACAATGTAAACACAAGCATTCTGTACATCTTGCTAGTGAATTCACATAACGCTTAGTTCCCTAATCCTTTGACCTCCTCAATTTCTCCAGTTATTTTCTGTTTGGACCACTGGCCACAGGAGTGGAGTGGGGTTGGGGCTTAGGAGAGAACAATGTGGCTTTTTGGTATGACTTGTTGTATTGCTTGCCCTTTCAGCACACTCCCGTTACTCCTAACACAAAGTTTGAGATTTAAGCCCTTAAACCTACAGGAATCACCATCAGCGTTTTCTTTTTCTGTTTGTTTGTTTGTTTGTTTGTTTTGCATAGGGATTACTGGGTTAGTAATAGGAGACTGGTATAGAAAGTGGTGAGGAGCTGAAGCCAACAAATTGCTTTAAACACAAGATGAAAATGCTCTGTTCTGTCCACACAAAGAATCACCTAATACTGGTATGAGGCATCTCACTTAGCTGTGGAGAAGTCCTTGGAATTATAGCTCAGAAAGACATTTCCAGCCTTAAGTCAGTAAACCTTTTGGCAATGGGCTAACTGCCTTAAAGGGAAAAAAAAAAAAAAAAAAAAAAGAGTTCTACTTTAAAGATTTTGCAAGTGGAGGCCTGGTGTGGTGGCTCACGCCTGTAATCCTAGCACTTTGGGAGGCCGAGGCAGGCGGATCACGAGGTCAGGAGATCGAGACCATCCTTGCAAACACGATGAAACCCCATCTGTACTAAAAAAAATAAAAAACATTAGCCAGGCGTGGTGGCGGGCACCTGTAGTCCCAGCTACTTGGGAGGCTGAGGCAGGAGAATGGCGTGAACCCAGGAGGCAGAGCTTGCAGTGAGCCGAGATCGCGCCACTGCACTCCAGCCTGGGCAACAGAGCAAGACTCCGTCTCAAAAAAAATAAAAATAAATAAATAAATAAATACATAAATAAATAAAAGACCTTGCAAGTGGAGAACTTGTTCTACAAAGATTCTTGGAAATGTTAACGGAGATAACTGACATGGGTAACTGTGAGCCAACCAGGAACTGTCAACAGCCTGATCTCAGCAGATATTTTTAAAAGGAACACAGGAGATTCATATGCATGGCTTTAAACATTAAAATTGATCCTTGGTAAAATGTATTTTCTGAAGCATAAACTGGATGACTAGAAAATACATATTTAATGAATAATACTAGTAGTTCTAATCACATTACATGGGGAAATTTTGCAAATTACAAATAAACCAAATTGCATAGAAATGAATTTTGGAGTTATAAGGAACCAAAGAAAGATTAGCGCTCAGTTTTCCTGGCTTCCATTCAAGTGTTCCTTCTACTATAGCACACAGCATACTCATACTAAGGTTAAGATCCAAGAACAATCCCTTGTCTGTTTTTCTAATGTTTAAAAGTTAGGGACAAATCCCCAGTTTATTTATCCTGACAATAATCAGGATGCTGGAGTTACTTTGCAATGTATTCTACAAACTGGCTAGTGTTCTTGAGATAATTAGCACATGTTAACTATAAGCAATTACTTTTGTCATAAAATGTGTTCTACTTCAAATTGTAGCTTAAAAGCTTCTGGGACCTAAAAGCCACATGGTGACAAGTGATAGTTTTCATTTAAAACTTAAAATTTAAAAATTATAAATGTAAGAAATTAGTTTTCAAGCCTGGGTTGACTATTTTTTCCCCCAAATAAATAAGGCCAGTTATGCTGAAACTTCACTAATATGGCAGCCACTGGCCACATGTGGCTATTAAGTATTAAAATGTGGGTAGTCCATATTCACACGGCTTTAAGTATAAAATATATAGTACATTTTGAAGACTCAGTAAGAAAAAGTAAAGAATATCTAAATTTTTATATTGAATAGTATTTTGGATATATTAGATTAAACAACACATATTATTAAATTTAATTTCACTTAAAAAATTTAATGTGGCTACTAGAAATTTTTAAAGTGTATTTGCCTTGCATTATATTTCTACTGGACCACTCTAAGCCATCAGGAATGAATATCCAGGTGCCACAGATACATAGTCCATTCATTCTCTAAGAATAAGTTAGCATTATAAAAATTGTCTACATAATCAAGTCAATTTCTGAGCTAAAAGAAAATGATATGGAAATACATGGTAAATCTAGAAATAAACTTTAGTTGGCTTTAAATATACCCTGTTTCCAAAATTTACATTTTTGGTTTTGGTTAATACAGGAACTAGTTAATATTCCCTGCACATATGTAAATTGATCAGAAAGGAAGGTGGCCCAGAAACATGGTAAAACCAAAAGTTATCCTTTGTACACTGTTCAATTCACTCATAGATGTGTTAATTCAAAACACTTACATATGACACCATTAGATACTCTGCAAACACACACTAAGCTATAACTTAGGGATTTGAGCAATTTAACATGAATGCAACAAAACAAAACATTATAATTTATACCTTTGCTCCGTCTGAAATATTGTCCCAGTTTCCACCACTCAAAGAGAATTTTCCATTGCCTATACGCAGCAGTATCTCTTCAGGAGTATCATTGGGGCCATTAGCAAATGGAGTGTAGCTATTAATAAAATAGATTTTAATAGACACTAGAGGGTAACATACCCAAACAATGAAAGAGATACATATATTTACTACATGCAAATATTTACTTCAGTGAATAAGAATATCATCTCATATTTCCTTTCACTGTTAAAGTCAAATTTTATATTTCAAACCATAAATTTAACCTTAATAAAATGTTTAATAAAATGGAGAATCTTGTTTACATCAATTATTTCTTTTGTCTCTGATTAGCTAATCAATGTAAAATAAAATAAAGGTGGCTTTTCATGTAAAGCTTCAGTCTTAAAACTAGACAACACTAAAACACACATATTCAAGGCATAGGTTAGCAAACAAATATACCTAGTAAAAAGAAAATGTTAATTTCATATATTCATAATGTATTTATTGTCTTGTTTCAATTTATTCATTAACATTTCATCATTATCATCAGTGGAAACGGTTATCATTACTTTTTATTAATATCTATGAAAACTTGGTTGGTTAAATATGTATATCGACACAAAACTCCATAGCCATTACATTTATTATGTAGATCAATCATGTAGATTAATTGTGCTTGACATGCAAACTTTAGCTACCCTTAACTTCAGTATTTACTGTTGTCTATAACTAAATATTTTGCATAAATTTGTAATACCTAAAAGTATGTGAAATGTACTGAGATGTGTAATTAACACCAAGCCATTAAACAATTTAGAGTCACCATTTTTATAACATATTTATAGAGCTCTTGGTATGTCAAGCATATTTAAACTATACTAAATGCACTCTTTAAAATATATGTCTAAGTACATTATAATTACTTGCTAAACTTGGCCATTTTCTCTATCACAACCCTCTTGGAATAATTTCTACATCCATAAGTTTTCACTTCTAAATAAAAGTGCTACTCATTATTGAGAGTAAAATAGTACTTGTATTATTTGTAAAGTATCAACATTAACATAGTCCAATTGTTATTACATTTGTTTTGAGCTTTTCTTTATCCTTTCAAGGGAAGGTAGTTGTGTGTGTTTCTGCAGTTTAGTATTGTTACTACTTAGATTTGCACAATCTTACTAAATCTCTAGTGCCAGAATAGTTAGAATTCAAGTGCTTAAAAAAAATCAACTCAATATCAACAAGTTCAGTGGGCAAGTTGTTGGTGAAACATGCAATTATTTTATGATTAAATAAATATTTTCAAGATTAAAATAGAAATGCACTTTATTTTTAAAAGTTTTAGTTCTGGGTGACAACTGCCTTTTAAAATTATTATGTCATAAATTAGTAGTGCCTCATTCTACACCTTGCTTTATGTTTTTTAATTTTATGTGTAACAATCAATATTAATATTTTGAAATGTAAATGTCATTTTCCTTAAAGTTATTTTAATCTATTCTCTTTCTAGATGAAGATATACAGATGAAATTCAAATAACAATGTTAATGCTTTTGAATATATGTTTCTTACCCAGCCAACATTGTGTAAAAAAGGACTCCTAAACTCCAGATATCACAAGCAGCATCATATCCCTGTTGCATAAGAACCTAAGAAAGAAATACTCATTATATGGTGTTACTCAATATAAACTCAATTTTCTCCCAAAGAAGTTGTTTTACTTCTAATAATCTCACAAAAGTTCATAATATAAAAACTTCAATCATTTTATGCACTTGTAGTAAAGACATAACCCCTGACACCTCAATGAGTTTTCTCTCCTCCTCTTAGGAAACCAGATATAGAGAAATCTAAACTTAAGATTAACATGTACAGAGATTTTAATGTATACTATATACAGTACTAAGGCTTTTAATTCTGTCACTGATTCTGTGAGGTAGACAATATTCCAATTTTGAAGATGAGGAAACTGAAGTGAATGTTAAGTAACTTACCCAACATTACAAAACTAGTAAGTAGTAGAACACGAAGTCTTATTTAAGCCTGTGTTTTTAATATCTATGATAACTGCCTCTTTACTACACAAGATATGGCAAGATAATATATAATCTCACAAAAGCAGAATGAATTTATATTTTACCATACAAGGTCAATGTCTTGAAAACAGCAGTATATTTCTGGACCACAAGTACACATTTGAAAAATACTGAATGGCTTCATTATTTTTCATACAATAATTTAGGAAGCTGTTTTTTGGGGCCAGTGTTAATAAAAATCAAATAATACATTTGCTATGTATTCATGTGAGATTTAGCTACGAAGTTAATAGAGTTCGTTAGAAAAATAAAGAGATGAAATGAGGCCATTTTCTTTCCATTTAGAAAAACAAGCCCATTGCTAAAGCCTCTAGGCATAGGAACAAAATAGAAACATTATTAATGCATTAACACTGGGGATTATATAACCACCAGCATGAATTTCTCATCTATAAAAGGCTAAAAATGTTAGTGTTTGGCTTTGACAACTGCCAAACATGAGTAAAGAGTATATAACAAACTTAAAATTTGAAATATGCTTTTTTCCTAGTCTTAGTGTATTCATAAAAACACACATATGTGCAAAATTAAGAGGGTAAAGAGGATATAAAAGCATAATTGGCTTATTTAAATAATACAAGTAGGGAACTATAAAGTACTTAACAAATAACAAGGTATAGCTAAACCACTCATATCATGGTAAATGTTAACTTGGCATACTCTAGTAAAACATAGACTTCTAGTGATTTTATTCCCTTATCTCTTCATTTTTCTCATCACATCTTACAGTTCCAATCATCACCATGTTTTCCCTGATTCCCTTAGGAAGCTTTTTAAAGTTTCCCAAGTGATCCAATGCATAGCTAAGGTTGAGGGCCACTGCACAGAAACTACTTGGACAGGTGAGAATTAATCAAGTCAGCTGTAGGTACCATATACTCCTATAACCTTCCTAGTTATGAGGACAGACTTGCGCAGGAGGTGTCATATTGCTTAATTAGGGCCAAACATGAAAAACTTGTTTTAGGTAAAGAAGAAACAGTCCACTTTTTTTCTAGAGCTAGTCTCAATGCCCTAGTGAGCATATAATCATAAAAGAAACAAGGCAGAGCGGTAGGATGAATGAAAGAGTACAGAGGTTATGTTTCACACCTTTTTACTTGTATCAAGTTAAATACAAAGATAGAAGTCACAATTAAAGTAGTCAGTGGCATAAGTCTCTCTCTCATTTGGCTTCCCAAGTCAGCAGAAAGTAACATACACAGAGCTCCTCATTCCTGTTGCTCAAATCAATTAACGTTTGGGGCAAACTATATGACAGCCCAGAGAAAGAGCAAAGGAGAGTTAACTTCAAAATTAGTTTATAAAAAGCTACAGACACAGTATCCCTCAACTTTTTTGTAAGCCCCATTAATTCAGGAACTTCTTTAACCTCAGTAGGCTTATAATAACAGTTGAATAATATAACGTAGTGGATTTGCCTTTATCGAAGAATAAAATATTTTAGAGATATATTCACTTTTTGCAACATAGGTATAGTAGAAAAGCACATCTACCTAATAAACCCCAAGAGGTTGATCAAACTGATGCATAATCTAAAAACTAAAAGAATATTTTCTCCTTATTGTTAAGCTAAAATTGCAATAATCAGTGTAGCTCTTAGCAAAAACTTTATGCATTGTGAAATAATGAATGTATACCCCCATAAATGCCATTTTTTATTGAAATGTCTGTATCGATATTTGAATCTTTCCAATTCTAGTTTAAAAAAGAATGCATTTTTATATTTTACTAATACCTTTTGAAAGCGTCTGAAATTTCAGAAACAAACCTCACTAAAAATACTCTCTGTGGTTCATTAATAACAATTTACAAATATATTATTGATTCCTAGCATGGGCTTCATCACTCAAAAATAAAACTTTCAAAGTATTTTGAAAATACAAATACTAGTCAAAGGTAGTTCAAGCACTAGTTAGAGAGAAGTGGTCTCCAGATGCCCACCTGAAAACCTTCACTATTACAATGGTAAAAGTGTCTTACTACAGTGTACGTCTGTTGGGAAAAAAACATCAATGGGCTGTATTCTACTCTCTGGGTTTGATTACCTAACCATTAATCTAAAACTGTTTACCTAACCATTAATCTAAACACGGACATATTATATATTTTTCATTTTAATGTCTGTTGTTGATATGTTCATATGGTACATATTCACCTTAACATTTTTCCAGTGAGAAGTTGCCATAATACTAAGTAGTTTAGGTCCACAAGATTAAGTCAATATTAAATATTTGGCTATTAAAATGGTTATTCTATACTCTGCTCTTATGTCTACTGTATAAATCTGTTAGAATATTTATGAGGACCTTTATGATGACCATATATGCTATACATAACAGAAGAGCACTATCTCAAATATTCTGTCCTCCTATAAAACCACTGAAATGTCCTAAAAAGGCTAATTTTTTTATGTGCAGGCTATTATCTCATACACCTTAGGGCAGTACAATATGTTGTAACAGATAAAAACTTGTACATTATTTTATGAATTTTATTAAAATATAGATTAAATCACATTCTCCGGATACATACATAATTTCTTAGTCAAATCTCTTATCATAAAAAGCTTATAAAACAGATGTTCTGCCTGTTCTTCAATATCAGTATAGTATTTTCTATATTTCTATTTTCATTATTAAAGTTATTTTTATAGTAGCTACTTTAAAATAAAGACTGATTTACATTAAAATACAAGTGGCTTATTGTTAATATATCTGATGTGCAATATTTCCCTGAAAAAGCTAGTATTTGATATAAAAATAAAATCATAAAATATATAGAAGATAGGAATTCTTCTCAAATTATTTTACTCTGCTTCTCCTTTGATTGACACATCAATTTTTTCAAATCTGAAGAGTTTTAGGTATTTTGATTTTCATTGAATATGTAATTACATGTCAGTATTATCCATAACATATAAGAACAGCTACTGACTTGACAAAGAAAGCTTATAAAGAACTTATATGGCCAATGCCATCTCTTGATTCATTTTTCCCCAACTTCACTTTCACTGCTATGGAAATTGCTACTGTCAAAGCTCTCATCCCCATGGTTAGAATGAATGTTACAGCTTCCCAAATGTGAAATCTGTACCACAGCCTCCCCTTTCCTGACTCTTCTCCCTAAGAGCATCACCTTTCCTGATTCTTCACCCTAATATTTAGATATAAATATTATTTTCCAAGAAAAATCCCCACGGCTTACAAAAACCCCTGTGTGGCTATTTTCTCCGGGAGTTAGAAGATCCTAAAGACAATCGAGGATAGCACTGCCCTTATATGTTATTTATAATGCTAATCTATATAAATTACCTAATGTTCAGTACAATTTAACATACCTGATGAATCTATCCTAGCTTTGTTATTAAGTGAATGCTGGGTCTTGAATAAGTCATTGAAGTACCTCGAGCCAGTTTCATCATTTAGAATACATAATATATTGAAGCTGTGGCTATCTTTTCCCTACCTCCCAACTCTAAAATGATATGATTCTGAAATTAGTATATAACCCAACAGAATAGAATAGCCTGATTATTACATTCTGGTTGGTTTTAGATGCTAGTTACCAGTGTAAATATTTATATTAGGGGCTATGAGAATTCCCTGATTTAAAGAACTTTAAAACTGAAAAGGGCAAGGTAACAGCTTTTATCTGCCTACCATAACATTCATATGGCATCATATAGATTCAACTAAAGGAAAAGAATGAAAGGCAAATGGTGAAGTTTTTAAGGAATACCTCAGGTGCAACAAAGTTTGCAGTGTAGCATGGAGTTAAGAGAAGTCCATTTTCTCCTCGAAGTTGTTTTGCAAACCCAAAATCACATATCCTGATTGAATCTGCACTGGCTGATTCATCCATGTATAAAATATTACTAGGTTTAAGATCACGATGAACAACCTTGAATATAAAGGAAAAAAGCATTATATCTATATAATTAACTAAATATCTGAGAAATAAAACATTATATCTATATAATTAACTAAATATCTGAGAAAAAGAAACTTTCCAAATTACAAAATTTTGAAAATGACATTTTGCTCAAGCTTAATAGCCTAAAATATACACAGGAAATTATGTCTGTCAGATAGATGTTCCAGTTTCTATTGTCTCAAAAGCCACTAGTTTTGTTAACCATTTCTAATCTCAATATATCTAAGCTCAATTCTCAGATCCACTTTTGGACATGCCATAATTTATATCACTTAGCATTATACATAACATATAAGAACAGTTCCTGACTTACAAACTAAACTAAGTTTAGACTTAGTCCATAATGGACTAAGACCCTACTCAACACCCCCCTCCTTGAAGTAAACAACCATAAAACCTGGATATAATACAAAAATCAACTATCTGAAGGCACTGGAGAATGAACAGAAGCAGATATACTCTGATGAGGAGTACACACTTTGTTGAAGGAGGGAACACAGGAAACCATACAAGGAGGTTTCCATATCTGTGGCTTTTAGCCTGGGTTTAAGTGCAATCCCTATGGTACACAGTGGTGGTAAAGACATGTGGAAAAACCCTCAGACCTTCTGGCTTAGAGGACCAGAAAGGAGATGCTGGAAAACTCTGAATGCTGAGTGGAGGAATATTATAAAGGAAAGAGCCAGAACTGATCCTTGTATCAAAAATGTGTGGAACAGGATCAAAATAATTTGTATAAAGACAAATAATATGAACAAAAACCAGAGCTGCTGGCCCCAAAACTAGTTTTCAGTTCAAGCCCAGCCAAGAAAATTACCCACTTAAACAAATGAAACAATAATAACTATTGGAGAAAAATAATGAAATATGAAATTCTCTATAACTGATTATTATAATGCTTAGGATACAATCCCAAATTATCTGTTATACAAAGAACCAAGAAAATAGAACACAGTCTTAAGAAAATCAATAAATTCTGATTCCAAGATGAACCATGCTAAAACAGATAAGGATTTTAAAGTGACTATCATAATGATCCTCAACAAAGTAAAACAAAACATGCTTTCAATGCATTAAACTCTCAGCAAAAAAAGGGAAGTCTCAGCAGAAAAATAGAAACAATAAAGAAGAAACAAATAAAATGTAGGACTGGTAAAAAAAAATGCTGAAATTCCCCCATGTGATAAGTTCCCTACTAGTACTCTCTATTTCATGTAAGTTATCCTTATCTTTAATCAGAGTTTACTATGCTAAAGCTCTTTAAGGACAAGGACCAGGTCTCACTCATGTTTGAATCCACAACACTTTTTACAATGCCTGGCCTGTAGAAATGCTCAATATGTGTCTTATTAATTTAGTTAATTGAAGTAAGAACCTGAAGGTTCATACAATAATAAAGAAGAGACGCCTATGATGCTTTTCTCAAAAATTCTCTTCATGCTTTATTTTAGAGAGGGTTGGTAAAGACAATCAAATAATTAAATTATAAAAAGCTACTGTTTAGCATTATATATTAAAAAATACTGAAAACACACTTTATTAAACCACACACAAAATTGAGTACTATTTTTACTAATTATAAGAGGGGCTCATGCAGAGTTTTCATTATGTCAATTCTAAATTGCCATTTTAAATTTCTTTATTAAGTTGGTACATATCTACTATTACAACTGATTCAAACTTAAATTTTTAAATTACTCCCTACTTTGTTTTTTTATACAGTTATATATATTAAAAGTTCCCTTTTTTTGTAACTCAGTTCATTTGCCTTCTTTATGAAAGGACAGGAAGCAAAATAACAAGCCTGCCCCTTCACCACAAAATTTAATATAGTAATACTTGAAATGTTTAGAATACACATTTCTTACTGTATTTAGGGAAGGAGCTGGCAAGGTTCAAGATACATGTTAGGTAATCTGAACTTTATATGTTAGGTAACTTGAATAATAGTCACTGTATGTCTTTGGTTAATTCTTTTATGTTTGACTTTTAAGTCTAAGTTTCATAATTTCAAGGTCAAAGTTAGGTACATTTATATAATTCAAACCGCTTTTTAAATGAATATGCTATTAAATCAGGGCCAATTGGCAGAGAGAAAATAATTATTTCCTAAATCCATAAACTTCACTACATTGTGAGTTCTATTAGGATATTCTCTATAGAAATATATGTGAATAAAAGCAACTTATTTTAGGTGGCATCATCTCCTATATTTTCATGAAGATATAGGTCCCAGAATAGAAAGAAAAAAGTTAACTACAACTTACTCCTTGACAATGAAGATAGTCAACTGTCTTACTTATTACATATAGTATATCACTAGCCTCCCGTTCCGAGAAACATTTTTGTTTGAGAATACGGTCAAGTAACTCTCCTCCTTTCATTAAATCCGTAACAAGGTAAACATATCTACCATCATCAAAGACCTACAAAAGAACGCAGTTTTAAAATGTTATTATTTATAATTACAATTCTATAATTCTTAAATTAGATTTTAATTATATTTACCTTTCTACTAGACTTCCCTCTAGTATTAGAAACAAAAAAGACATTATTCCTTTACTCTTAATGCAGTACAGGCTGTACTAAAGGTTGAATTGGCTAAACAGTCACCTACACAGTCCCATGAAACCATGTTAAACATATAATTTTATTGCCTTTTGAAGTTATAGGTTGCAGTTCATCAAAGAAAGAAATTAAAAAATAGAACTCTGTGCCTCTCAAATGACCTCTATCTCAATTTTTTTACTGTATTATAGCTACTTCTCTTCCCCAAACGTAAGCTTCTTTCTGAAAGTAAATACATTATTTATTTTTTATACCCTTCCCTCAGTTCATTATCTGATTTGGTATCTTAAATACTGGTTGAATTCCAATAGTATACCAAGGAAAACAAATAAGAAAAGTATTTATACACTTTTCACTCAGGGCATGTATGATAAACACACACACACACACACCACAGTAGTTTAAAGATTACAAATCAAAGTGCATATCATTTTCTGACACAAATTGATCAAGGTGATAGTTGACTTTTCTGTCTTGTATAAAGAGAAAAGAACATTATCTCCTTATGTGAAAAGTGAGCATTCAGTAACATATTAATGAGTTATACATTCATTTTACAAAACTATAGACTAAGACTATTTCACTCCAGAAACAATCCATAATGCTATAGCCAATTACTATACAATCAAGAAAGTAAAATATTCAAGAATTTGGCAGATCCCCAGTCTCCTGTATCTTCTGTATTGATAGCACTACAGAATAATAATTGGTGTTAGCTACAATGTTAACTAGTTAACCAGCCAGAATATATTCATGTAATGAGGAAATTCTCATTTACCAATCATCATAGTTATTTTTGATATTCTATAAGACTAGAAGTATAGAATCATGGGAAAAAAAAGAATTAAAGTGGCAATTTAAGAGTCCTGAGATTTTTGAGGCATGAAAATAAATATGCTAAAGACATTAAAAGTTTCAATAAGAAAAATAAAGTTCCAATTCATAACTTCATTAGCTTAGCTGATACCTAGATTTAGAAATACCTACATCCTTCAAAGTAATAATGTTGGGATGTTGTCCATAGCGCATCAATATTTCAATCTCTTCTGAAGGGTCTCGCTTACTTTTGTCAATGATCTAAGAAATACGAAAAAAGAAAAATATCTGAGGCAAACAAATTATTTTGTCTAAAATGAGTATTTTCCATTTGGTTATATTTTTGAAGAAATGCTTAAAAACTCAAGAACAATACTTACCTCATATTATTTTAACATTTAAAAACATAAGTAAAAAACTTAACAGAAAAAAATAAAATTTTAACATTATATCCTATTTCACTGAAATTGTACCAATGATGACGTGATTGTAATTATCACAACTGCTCAATCTTAACATAATACATGTATAACAAAATTATTCAAATGCAAAAATTCATGAAATACACTGTTCCTACATAACAAAGGCTTGAAAAGAAATTCAAAAATGAAAATATTAAGTCTCAGAGTTCTTTCTCATCATCTTATCTTTCCTATCTTCATTTACTCCACTGAAAATGTTTGTCAGTTGACTCATAATTTAAATTACATGCATAAAACAAACAAGAAAGCTAGGCTCAGAGACAATACCTTCACTGCAAATTCCATGTTGGTAGTTGCATGTATGCATCGCTTGCAAACAGAGTAGGAGCCAACACCAATATCCTCCTTCAATTCATATACTTCACCAAATTGTGCAGCATTTCCATTTATCTGTTTATTTTTAAAAAGTAAAATACTAAGGAGAATGAAATATTTTCACATTTTCTGTCTTTTGTCCTAAATATACATTCATCTTAAGCCTTAAACTAGAATAATTCATTCTACAGAAGTTTTATCGACATTTATAAATGGCGTGAACCAATCCTTTCTTGATACCCACAGGCAACATAATAAAGCAACTAGCTTATACATCACCCTTCTATTTTATTCAAAAGAGGCCACATAAATATAATTAAAAGTTACCACTGTCTGCTCTTTTCCAAAACACACAGGGACATATTTAATTCATGATTTATACCAATAGATAAACAAAGAAGTTAAAAATCACTTTAAAAAAAACGATTAAAAATACATCAGCAATAACAGAGAAATAATTATCCCAAAACTGAATAATGTGATTAAGTGGAATTTACCTGAACAATTGGTAATACATTTGCACTTGTGATAGGAGTGATTTTATATTCTTCTGCAATAGAAGTTGCAACAAAGCTGAATCCTTTGAAGAGCTGATGAGCATTTGCACTGGCTGGCAAACCGGGAGAATCTAATGTCCAAATAATTACATTTAATTATAACTACACACAGAATTCTATGATATAAAGTGTCAGAATTTCTTTAACTATAAAGGAAACCATTAAATGCTACTAACATATTATATATTTGATTTATTATATATTATCTGTCTCCTCCCATCTGTATACATGCTCCATTTTAGTCAGTATTTTTTGTCTGTTCTTTTCACCACTGCATCCTCATTGCTTAGTACATAGTAGGTATTCAATATTTCTTGAGTGTATGTATGAAACTGTAAAAGACAGAGTAATATATCTCACGTCTTACCTCCTACCCCATCCTGTAAATCATTAGCATGCCAAAGGACTTATAAAACAAAGAAATAAACTTGCCACCCTTTGACCAAGTTCCTTCCTTCCTGATAAATATTTCCCATTTAAAACATCTACTTGACAGCTGCCCAAGCAATGTTTTGTATAGGATCCATATTTCCCATGGACAAATCAACTCTCTGCAAATTTACCATTCTTTTAGTTTTTACTTCACAAGAAAGTTTATTTTTAAACTATCTACTTAAATAAAATCTCTGATTTTACAGATAAACATGCATTACCTTTAGGTGTTTTTGCAGTAAATTCAGGATCAAAACAAAAAGTATCATCTGGTTTTCCAGAAGCAGGTTTGAAAGGAGGTTGAACTTCTCTTTTATATAATTTCTAGAAGGGACAACCAGATAACACAAAACGTATTAAGACTTTAAAAATTATTATACTTTGTAAAACAAAGCAGAACATAATATTCACAGTCCATAATAGAAGACTAACAATTTCATAGTTTCAGATAACTGTTAACCAAATTCTAAAATTTTGAGAGATAATGTTCAAGATGTAATGAGGCCAAGAAACATAGCAATGATGCCACAAGCTGAATTCACAAGGAATGCTCAATTTTGGATATCAGAAGTTTTTGAATGCTCATTGATAATATAACCATGCAAATACAGCACAGTAATAACTAAA
Source organism: Homo sapiens (assembly GCF_000001405.40). Classification (NCBI taxonomy): domain Eukaryota; kingdom Metazoa; phylum Chordata; class Mammalia; order Primates; family Hominidae; genus Homo; species Homo sapiens. The sequence goes on from NC_000023.11 coordinate 84,108,029, forward strand.
ATGCTCAAGGCTTTCAAAATCAATAATTATTTTTAAAAAGTGCATATTTCATCTAAAATATTGTTTTCACATAAAAAATATACGTTAAATGTACTGTTTAGGCTTGTATCAGATAATTGAAAATTTAGTCGTCTAACAATCTATCTTGCTAAAATCTATGCTTTTGAAAGGCATAGAAAATTTCTAATAATATATAAAAGCCACTTCTTTTGAAATCTATTTTTTAAAAAGCTTACAGTCCCACAGTGGGGAAAAATAAATAGGGAATTACTTTTGAGTAATTTTTATGTATTTAAATATGTAAACATGACTTTTAGTTCATTATGGCTTACTAGAAACAGCTAGTGGGCTAGTGGATGCCTCTCTCATGGTGAGGAATCAAAATAGCAATAAATATTGACACTTCAAGTAGATTTTCTAAGAGGCCACACTAGAATTCATCAGAGAAGTGATGGAATTGGGAATCACAGAAAGAAGAGAACAAAGCCATGCCGTCAGGTGAACTGAGACTGGTGTGGAGCCAGGAGATCTTCGATGCAGGGAAGGGAAGATTGAGTGAGAGACCCCCAGGATTCCACAATTCTGCCACAGACTTTCAATGCTAACCATAGGTAAACCCCCTTGAATCCCCTAGGCCTCCAGTTTAATACACGGAGCTGCCTGGAATCTGTGCAGAGGTACTGCTCAAGCCCATGTGGAATCCCATGGACTTTTGATCCCTGAGCAGCCTGGCGCCGGCTGCTGCCACCTCACTAGGCAGGGAGCAGGGAGGCTGGTACTTGTGCACACCTCAAAGACAGATACTGCAGCTGCAGTACAGAGGAGTGAGCAGAATGCACGCTGCAAAGACTGCCGGTCTCAGCTGTTCCCTTCTAAATGAGGCCTCCCTTCTTCAGTGTTGGGTCTACAGCACAGCTGCCCTGCCCTTACATGTATATACTGGCCACAGCCTGGTGTTCTTCTTAGAGCCCAGCCCCCAGAGGCTCGTGACCCGCTCTTCAGCTCCCTCAATAGCTGCGCCCAACACCACCATCACACTTGCCACTCCTGGGCCAAGGAGACAGTGGGGAAACTGGGCACCTTTGTGTGCCCACCAAAGTGAAATCCACTGCTGCTCCTTCAGGAGGGAAGTGCAGGTGGGCCAAGCACCCCATAGCTGCCAACCTTCATTGCTTCAGCTGAAGGGGTCTGCCTTCCCCAGTGAAAGGCCAGCAGCCCAGCGGCCCTGCTCCCAACTATTTCACCTGTTACCTGGAGGCCTTCTGAGAGCCTAGCCCCCCATAGGCCTGTGATGGGCCTTGGGACTTCGACCACATAAGCATTCTGCAGGCCATTCTGAGAGCCCAGACCCCAAAGCATGTGATCAGCCATGGGAATCCCACCACCAGAGCGTTCTGTGATAATCTGAGAATCCTGTGGGCCCTTTTAAGAGACCAGCTCCCACAGGCCTGTGATCAGCCATAGGGACCCAATCACCTGAGTGTTTTGCTATATTCTGAGCATTCTGTGGGCGCTCCCGAGAGCCCAGCCCCACAGGTCTGCAATATGCATTGATGCACCAACTGCCTGAGCATTCTGCAACTGCCTAAGTGTTTTGTAGGCCCTTCTGAGATCCCAGCCTCCACAGGCACATGATGTACCCTAGGACTCCCACTTCCAGAGTACTCTCCCTGCCTCTGCTTGAGAGTTCTGCCTGTGACTCCAAGAACCAGCCCATCACTCCCTATCATAGCCAGCAGCAGGAGTCTAGAGACTTAACAAGTCCACTGGCCTGGTCCTGGTCCACTTCTTACAGGACTCATACATGCTGTCTCCTGGGCATTCTGGGGGATAAGGAATTGGAAGTTTGCCTAGTCCTGTCTACCACTGCTAGTACATGACCATGCCTCAACCTGGGGTCTGAGCTCAGAGGGACCCAACCAGACGATACTGCCACAGCTAATACCCAACTGTGTGTGCTAAAAAGTGGAGCCCCTCTGTGATATCTACAGAAAGCAGAAGCATTACCCATTGGCAAACAGGTGAGTCACAAAGCTGTGTGTATTGGACTGATTCAGGAGGTTCCACCCAGAAACAACTCCCATAGACAAGTGTCTTCTGTGGCTATCAGCTATACTGCGGTCTGGAGATACACGGCAGTTGTGGATCTGAACTGAGAGCCATGAGCTCTGAGTCAGGGGTGTGATAGATAAATAGAACATATTGCTACCTGTCTAGGATGTGAAGCTAGTCTTCCTACTCTCTGCTGAGACCTTGGCACTGCTCACCAGGTACTCCCCCAACCATGCCTGTCAGGGCTGGCTCCCCAGTTCATCATTGGGGTATTTGTGTGCAAGCCAGACAATCAAGCTCTGCCTAGCTCCCTTTCCCCTCACCCCTCATGGGACAAAAAGGTCAGGGAACCTGGCATTCCACTGTCCAGCCCATCATCTGAAACAACATAGAGCACCACACAATAAACAAATATCAAGTGCATACCGATCTGCTTTTGCCACAGCTGGCTTGTACTGGTAAATGCCACCTACTGCCCTATAGATTGAACTGTAAAACCCAACATAAAAACCTGACTAAGAAGTGCACAGGCCTATAGAAACAAAGCCAAAAGACTTCTGGCTACTTCCCAACCTACTCTACAGTCACACCCCCCAAGAGGGGCGGCGGCAGGGGGTGAACCACGTCCACATGAAAATAAATTCAAAAGTAATATGTGACAGCTTCTACAGATAAGAAGGAACCAACATAAGAACTTCAGGACTACGAAGAAAAAGAATGTAATGACATCCCCAAAACGTCACAGTACCTACCTAGCAATGAATCTTAATCAAATGAAAACTTTGAAATGACAGATAAAACATTCAGAATATGGATTGTAAGGAAGCTCAATGAAATCCAAAATAAAGTCAAACACATACAAACAAACACAAAGAAATCAGAAAACAATTCAGGAGATAAAAGATAAATAAATATATATATATATATATATTTAAATTCTGGAAGTGAAAAAAAGATGAAAGGAATTTCAAAACAGAATTGAAAACTTTAATAACATACTAGACCATGCATAAGAAATAATTTTGAGCATGAGGGCTGGTCTTTTGAATTAAATCAGATAAAATTAAAGAATAAATAATTTTTAAAAAATGAACAAAGTCTTTGAGAAATATGGGATAATGTAAAGTGACCAAACTTGCAACTTATAGGCAGAAAGAAAAAAGAAAAGAAGTTTGGAAAGCATAATTGAGGAACTAATTCAGGAAAATATCCCCAATCTTGTTAGAGACGTAGATATCCAGATATAAGCAATTCAGAGAACACCTAGAAGACACTACAGAATACAAACATGACCGAGGGATATAGTCGCCAGACTATCCAAGTTCAATGTGAAAGAATAAATCATAAAAGAAGCTAGAGAAAAGCATCAAATCACCAATAAAGGAAATCTCATCAGACTGACAGTGGACTTCTCAGCAGAAATTTTAACAAGCCAGAAGAGAATGGGGACCTAATTTTAGCTTCCTTTAAAAAGTGCCATCCAAGAATTTTATATCCAGCCAAAATAAGCTTCATAAAATGAAGAAGACATAAAGTCATTAACCGAAAAGAAAACACGAGAGGAACTTATCACCATTAAACAGGCCCCATAAAAAATGCTCAAAGACGTTCTAAAGATGGAAACAAAAGTATGTCACTCACCATCATAAAGGCACACATAAGTAGAAAGCTCAAAGATCCTATAAAACAATCATACAATTGAGAATCCAAGGCAACTAGCTAGCAAATTATGACAGGATTAAAACCTCATATATCAATATAACCTTCAACATAAATGCCTAAATGTTCCATCCAAAATACGTAGACCAGCAAGTTGGGTAACAGACAAAAACCAACCATCTGCTGCCAAAAAGAGACCCACAGAATAGCTAAGCACATCTACAGACTTAAAGTAAAGGGGTGGAAAAAGATATAGCATGCAAATAAAAAACACAACAAAGCCGAAGTAGCCATTCTCATATCAGATAAAACAGACTTTAAACCAGCAACAGTAAGAAAAGGCAAAGAAAGGCATTATATAATGATAAGGGCTCAATTAAACCAAAAGATTTAATTATCCTAAATATATATTCATCCAACACCAGAGCGCTCAGATTCAAAAACAACTACTAATAGACCTAAGAAAAGAGATTGATGGCAATACAATAATAGTGGGGGACTTCAATACCAAGTGACAACACTAGACAGGTCATCAAGGCAAATGTCAACAAAGAAACTCTGGACTTAAACTGGACTCTAGACCAAATGGATGTTTACAGAATATTCTAATCAACAACTACAGCATATACATTTTTCTCCACCGCCCATGTAACACTCTCCAAAACTGAACATATGCTTGACCATAAAGCAAATTTCAATACTTTCAAGAAAATCAAAATCACATCAAGTATCCTATTGGACCACAGTAGAATAAAATTAGAAATCAATACCAAGGGGAACTCTCAAAGCTACACAAGTACATGGAAATGAAACAAGTTGCTCATGAATGACTTTTGGGTGAACAACAAAATCAAGGCAGGAATAAAAAAATTGAAATGAATGAAAATAGAGACAGAACATAACAAAACGTCTGAGACACAGCTAAAGCAGTGCTAAGAGGAAAGTTTTTAGTGTTAAATGCCTAAATCAAAAACACAGAAAGATCTCAAATCAATGACCTATTGTCAAACTACACGAAAGTAGAATAACAAGAAAAACCAAACCCAAAGCTAGCAGAAGACAAAAAATAACTAAGTCTCATTTCGCTGAATAAAATGAGATTGCGACCAAAAAAAGGATCAACAAAATGAGAAGCTGGTTCTTTGAAATAATAAACAAAGTTGATAGACCTCTAGATGGTTTAACCAAGAAGAAAAGAGAGAAGATTCTAACAAGTACAATCAGAAATTGAAAAGGGCACACATTGCAATGAATACCACGGAAATATATATAAAATATGATCAGTGATTACTATGAACATGTATATACACACAAACTAGAAAAGCTAGATGATGGATAAATTCCTGGAAACATACAGTCTCCCAAGATTGAACCAGGATGAAACAGAAAACACAAACAGACCAAAGGAACAGTGAAACTGAGCCAGTAATAAAAAAATGTTCCATCAAAAAAAGCCAGGACCACACAGGTCTAGAAACAAGTTTTTCCAGACATGCAAAGAAGAGCTGGTGCCAATCTTACTAAAACTGTTCCCAAAAATTGAGGAGTTGGGAATCCTTCCTAATTAATTCTACAAAACCGGTATCATCCTGAGAGCAAAATCAGGTAAGGACACAACCAAAAAAGAAAACTGCCAGCCAATATCCCTGATGAATATAGATGCAAAAATCCTCAACGAAATACTAGCAAACCAAATCCAACAGCACATGCAAAAAATAGTTAATCATGATCAAGTGGATTTTATTCTAGGGATGAAAGGATGGATCAACATTTACTAATCAATAAATGTAAATCACCACATAAACAAAATTATAAACACAAATCATGTGATCATCTCAATAGATGCGGAAAAAGCATTCGAGACAATTCAACATCACTTGATGATAAAAACCCTCCATATAATAGGCATAGAAGGAACATACTCCAACATCATACCAAATGCAGGAAAGTTGAAAGCATTCCTTTCAAGAACTGAAACAGGTCAAGGATGTCCACTTTTACCATTCCTAGTCAACACAGTACTGGAAAGTCCTAGCCAGAGCAATCAAGCAAGAAAAAGAAATAAAATACATCCAAATTGGAAAAGAGGAAGTCAAAGTACCTCTATTGATTGATGATATAATATGATACTGAGAAAACAGAAAAGACTCCTCCAACAGACTCCTAGACTTGATAAACAAATTCAGTAATGTTTAAAAAAATAAAATCAACATACAAAAATCAGTAGCTTTTCTATACAACAGTGATGTTCTAACTGAAAACCAAATGAAAGTTCTAATTAACAATCTCATTAACAACAGCCGCAAAAAGTAAAATACCTACAAATACATTTAACCAAGAATGTGAAAGAGTTCTACAAGGAGAACTATAAAACACAGATGAAAGAAACTAGATCAAATGGACAAATGGAGAAACATCTCATGCTCATGAATTGAAAGAATCAATATCATTAAAATGACCATACCAGTCCAGGCACAGTGGTTCACGCCTGTAATCTCAGCACTTTGGGAGGCTGAGGCAGGAGAATCGCTTGAACCCAGAAGTTCCAGACCATCCTAGTCAACATACCGAGACCTCATCTTTACCAAAAAAATTTAAATTAGCCAGACACGGTGGCATACACCTGTATCCCCAGCTGCTCAGGAGGCTGAAGTGGGAGGATTGCTTAAGTCTAGGAGGTCAAAGCTGCAGTGAGCTGTGATTGTGCCACTGCATTCCAGCCTGGGTGACAGAGAGAGACGCTGTCAAAAAACAAACAAACAAACAAAACAACAACAAAAAAAAACATACTGACCAAAGCAATATCCACATTCAATACAATTCCTATCAAACTATGAATGCCATCCTTCAGAGAATTAGAAATAACAATCCTAATGTTTACACAGAACCAAAAAACAGCCTAAATAGCCAAAGCAACCCTAAGTAAAATTAACAAAGCCAGACGCATCACATTTCCTAATTTCAAATTATACTACAAGGCTATAGTAACTAAAACAGCAGAGTACTTGTACAAAAATAGACACATAGATCAATGGAACAAAACAGAGAACCCAGAAATAAAGCTGCATACCTATAGCCATCTGATTTTCTACAAAATCTACAACAATAAACAATGAGGAGAGAACACTCTATTCAACACATGGTATTGGGAAAATTGCCTAGCCACATGAAGAAGAATAAAACTGGACCCCTATCTCTCACTGTTTACAATAATTAACACAAGATTGTTTGAAGACTTAAACATAAGATGTGAAACTACAAAGGTCCTAGAAGAAAACCTAGGCAAAACTCTTCTGGACATTGATCTATACAAAGAATTTATGACTAAGATCCCAAAAGCAAATGCAACAAAAACAAAAGTAGACAAATTGGACTTAATTAATTTCCTGCACAGCCAAATAAATAATCAATAGAGTAAAAAGATGACCTACAGAATGGGATAAAATATTTGCAAACTATGCCTCTGACAAAAGACTAATATCGAGATCTGCAAGGTACTCAAACAACTCAACAGGTAAACAAACAAACAAACAAACCTATTAAAAGGTGGGCAAAGGATATGAACACGCATTTTACAAAAGAAGACATACAAGCAGCCAACAAACATGGAAAAATGCTCAATATCACTAATCATCAGAAAAATGCAAATTAAAACCACAATGAAATATGATTTTATATCAGTCAGGAGGGCTTTTATTAAAAAGTTAGAAAATAACAGATGTTGGCATGGATGTGGGAGAAAACAGGTACACTTATACACTGTTAATGGGAATGTAAATTAGTACAACCTTTATGAAAAACCATATGAAGATTTCTCAAAGAACTAATAATCAAAAAAATTTGACCCAGCAATCCCACTAATAGGTATGTACCTAAAGGAAAATAAATCATTATATAAAAAGGACACCTGCACTTGTATGTCTATCACAGCACTGTTCACAATAGCAAAGTCATGGAATCAATCTAAGTGTCCATCAATGGTTAATTGGATAAAGAAAATAGGTATATAGACACCATGGAATACTATGCAGCCATAAGAAAGAATAAAATCATTATCTTTGCAGCAACATGGATGGAGGTGGAGATTATTATCCTATGTGAAATAACTCAGAAAATCAAATATCCCATGTTCTCACTTATAAGTGGGAGCTACACAATGGATACACATGGACATACAGATGGAAATAATAGACACCGAGGACTCCAAAAGGGGAGAAGTTAAAAGGGAATTGAGGGTTGAAAAATTACCTACTGGTCACTGTTTGGTTGATGGGTACATTAGAAATCCAAACCCACCATTATGCAATACATCCACGGAAAAAACCCACAAATGCACCCCCAGATCTAAATTATTTTTTTAAGAAAAAGAAAAATAAATATGTATGTAAATATTCCACTGATTTGTTATTTAGATTAAAAGCAATAAATCTTTAATATCCTGTGTTGGTCATATGAAGTTATTCAATAACAAGCTTTCTACTTAACTTACATCCCAGTCAATATTTGCAAAAAACAGATGTCTTTTGATTTCTTCAACTCCTTCTGATCCTATAAAAAAAAGAAATGATATTTTATTTTTATGATTTTTTTTAGTCTTGCTCCCTGGCTTCCAGACTGCTATCTGTAAACAGGAATACACATATTTCATACATTCCTTGAAAAGAAAAATACATGATTTCTTATCTGGCATTTTATTAGCTGGTCCTTTCATTTTACTGTGATAAAAAATAACTAACATTCATATTGAACTACAATAAAGTGTCTCCCAAATCAAATCAAATAGTATTAAACATAATACTTAAACTTAAATACATATTTTTTCATTCCTAATTTATCTTATGACCTCATATTTATATGCCAAATTGAAAGGTACAAAGGAATAAAGTGACACTGAAATTTTCACACAAGGGCATAAATAATAGGATCGCATCTGGATACAGGGAAAGGCTACCAGAAAGGGGTCAAAAAAGTAGTTACAGAAACATAATATTTACTTTGAAGAATATTGGGGGGGGGCAAAATATCTATCTTCAAATATATAAAAGATTACCTGTACAAGGGAGAATCTGTTTATTATTTCAAAAGAAGTAACCCATAATATATACATAATAATAGGTTGAACAGAAGCTTTCATTAACTAGACTACTTCAGTTTTAAATCATGGACATAACAGAGTTTACTTTGTCTGAAATGCACACACAAAATGAAAAATTCTACGTATAGAAGTAATGTGCTCAAATCAAACAAGAAAACATAAAGATTTAATTATCCTCCCAAAACATGCAGTTACTTCTATAAAAGCTAAGAAAATAAGCAATACCCAATCTATTTGCTGGATTCCTTTTGAATAACATCCTTAGAAGACTTTGTGCTTCAGCACTAAGAAATTGAGGCATTCCAAGTTTTGCTCTGAAACAGAGGATTTTAGAAAGTTTCACTTAAATTTAGCCACATTTTTGATTTGAAAAATCTCAAAAAGAACTTTTAAAAGTGCTTTTACAAGGGTACAGTCCTGTATATGGTAGAAGGGAACAAGACAGTGAGAAAAAGGTACTCTTGTATTATTTTAAAACCGCAATAATTTTTTCAAAACTGAAAGCAAGAGATTTTTTTCCCAAAAGAAAAACATACTGTTTACACTTACTTTAATATCATATTCATGGTCTCATTTCTGTCTTTACCTTGAAATGGCAGAGTACCAGTAAGCATTTCAAACTAAAACAAACAAACAAAACACACCACACAATTAGAACACCTTAGAATATATAATAAGATTCTCTAGAAAAAAACTGAGACTTCTATATAATCATCAAATTGTAAGATCTACATGATAGTAGATCAAAATGGGACCAGAAAACTAGGTCACTTAAAGAAATATACTTCTGGTATCCCACTCTCTCTCTCTATATATATAGCTCAACTGATGGTGACCTGTAGCAGATGAAACCAACCAATTCTTCCTCAGTTCTAATTCGGCTATGTTCTCAAAGCCAAAGCAATTTGAAAATACACACAATGCATTTTCTGTTAAAACAAATATACTCTTTTGAAGAGAATGTTTAATAATAAAGGAAAAGGAAAAATAAGCAGAAAAGCATTTCAAATTCATACATGCCCAAGAAAGATTTAACCATTCTCATTCCCTCCACTGCCCCCAAAACAGGAGCCAAAAAAGAAGTAGAAGCAGCAGAACACACCACCACCACCACCCCCTGCCACACACACACATGCCAATAGCTTTAAAAAAGAAACATACACCTTAGTTGTACACAGAAGAAGGAAAACATTTTCTCAAAGAGAACTGACTGCAATGTGACTAACTAGAACATTAAATAATGGTATAAAAAAAGACTACCTCTAAAAATCATTACGGTACATTAAAGAGAAGTTTTTGTATCACCAGTATTTAAATCTCAAACTTAGATTCAATAATGGCTTTGGCCTTAGTCTTCTACTCATTTATCTGAACTCACAATCTAAGTGAGCTTATACATTCAAGTCTCTTCTGTATCTTAATGTCTCCCAAAATCTGCTGTTCAAGGCTTAATCTCTCTCAAACTCCAGCTTTCCTTCCCAAATCTTAAGTAATGGTACGCCACCAAAGACTGGAGGAGTAGAGGTGAGAACTTCAGGGAGAGAATGAAGGAAGGATCGTATATAGGACTCACATCTTCCCTCAAAGAAACTACACGTTGGGTAGTTAATATATACGTATTAAGGTCTCCAAATGATTCTGATTCTCTCTCCACTACCCCTCCTAGTTTATCACCACCCAGTGGTGAGTCATTAACCTACAGTAACCTATGCTACATGTTAAAAATTATTTTTTCCCACTTCCAAAACCAGCTGTCCTCTTCAGCTATCTCTTCTATTAACTTACCATTCTTTGAACCCCCTAAAGCTCACAAATTTTATAGGCATTTTTATCTTTGACAATTCATTTCTTTTTGATCTGTGTCATCTAATTTGCTACCAAGGTTAACAACTGCTTACTTTGAAATCTCTATAATCTTACAATTGTCTTTAAAGATCTCTTTTGTCTTCCTATTTCTAGTTTCTTCCATTACAATCCACTTACAAGGCTAATCCTCCTAAAATACAATTTTCTCTAATTTCCAGCCTGTTTAAGAATCTAAAAGTTTCCTCCTACCCAGAGAATCATGTATAAATGCTTATAGGTTTATAGCTTCACTTCCTCCACCTTTGCCCTCTTTCTCCACTTCTCTAGTCAAACTGGTTCTCCAAGTCTTTGCTAATATGATCACAATAACTCTCCTTCTTGACACACAACTATTTAAATTTTATCCATCCTTCAGGGCTTAATTTAAGTTCCAACTCTTTCAGTTTGCCTACATCAGCTTACATTAAATCTTCCCTGAACTCCTAAGGTACTTCTTGAGAGTTTATTTAGCTACTCCAATTGAAAAAGACCAAATATTTTACTTAGAATCAGTTCCTACCCCACAGGCCTCCTAATATGTCAGGCTTATAAGAGACACTTAACATGCTGATGTGTCATTTGATGTGCTACTCAGTGATAAATGGACAAAATGGATCAGACCTCCAAAGCAAATTATATCTAATTCAACAGCTATTTATCTATCATCCTACTGACTACTGCAAATTCTATGCTTAATCTCATACCAAATTAGTCAGTCTGTATTAAGCATCTACTGAAATGCTCACTATGCTTGATACTATGGGAGATGAAAAGTAGTATAAGACATGATTCCTCTGCTCAACAGGTTTATAACCTTTCTAGGGAATACATGGAACAATCTGACAATAAGACACTATATGGTAAGGTGCTAAGTTCTGTAACATTCAATTAAAATACCATGTAACTGATAAACTCATCATTCTGAAATATAGAATCTGACAGACCTTTTCATAAGTATCAAATATGAATAGTTTATAATAACAATGCTGTCATTTACCTTTTTACTAGCAACTTTAAAATAAATCAGAACACCAAAATCTTAATTTTTATTGTGTAACAGCTAGCCAATCACAAGGTTTTTGGTGTTAATTATAAATTATCAGAACCCCTTTCTGACCTGCTAAATCCCAAAATTTGAATTAAAATAAAATTATAAGTAATATCAATCACAGGTTGGCATAATTAAAACAAATAATGCTACTTACCATAAGAACACCATATGACCACCAATCAGCACTCTGGGAATGGCCTCTCCTATTTACTACTTCAGGAGCCATATACTCTACTGTACCACAAAATGAGTAAGCCTTCTTTTCTTGATCTACTGACTCCTTGCTGAGTCCAAAATCTATAATAACAGTATTACCAAAAAATGTGTCTGAAAAACTTCAGAAAATAGAAAACGTCAAAAGAAACAAAATAATGTATTAAACATTACAATTATTTATGGATGGCCTACAGTTACTCTTAAGAAAGTTCCTGTGAGATCAATAAGAGAAAGCAGCCTGTATTTCATAACAATACTCTTTAAGGTCATTTAAAGATCCTTCCATGAAATCTCATCCTCAAAATACATGCTTTCAGGTCTACACTAGAATATAGTGCAAAAAATGTGAGGGAACAACAATTAAATCAAAGCTGCCGTATTGATCTAAGTTTTAAAATAGACTAAGACAAAACAGAAATAGTAACTTATACTTTTTAAAATATTAAAAAAGCAAATTTTGCTTTGGCTTTGGTGAGCTTCCATTTTTGTTCAAAGCCTTCAAGGAGCTAAAGATGTCAATAATAAAAATCAATCTTATTTCTTGGTATTACTAATGAACAACTGGAAGACGAAATTTAAAAAGTACCATTTATAATACCACCAAAAATATCAAACATGAAATCTACAGGTATAAATATACATCTACAGCTATAAAATATATATGCAAGAATTATATGCTGAAAACTGGAAACACTGATGAAAGAAATCAAAGTAGACCTAAATAAATGGGAAGTTATACCATGTTCATGAATTGGACGATTTAATGTTGTTAAGGTATCAATTCTCCCCAAACTGATATACCAATTCAATGAAACTTCAATAAAATCCCAGCAAAATTTCTTTTGTAGAAATCAATAAGCTGATTCTACAATTTGTATAAAAAAGTCAAGAAAATAAAATAGTCCAAACAATTTTGAAAAGGAAGAAAACAGTTGGACTTACACTACACCTGACTTCAACACTTACTATAAAGCTACGGTAATCAAGATAGTGGGGTACCGGAAAAAGGTTGGACATATATATCAATGGAACAGAAGAGTGTACAATGATAGACTGACATATACAGTTAATTCTGCTATAATGCTTCTTTTGAAAATGCAAATTTGTTCTAATGCAATTGATATCTTAGCAAACAATCTAAGTATAACGTGAATTTCACACTGGCTTATCAGTGATTTTGTCTGCAGGAAGCGTTACATGAGCACAGAAAACTGAATCAGCTGAGCTTAGGAAAGTAGAAATACATAAAATGCACATATGCACACACCTCAAACATCTACCAGCTAATTCACTGTATTTGTTATGAGCCACTCCTGTCCACCTCTAGCGTTAAAATTTTCCTTCCAATTCCAGATAATCTAACTTCCACTACATCATTATAACTTACAAACTGTAACTTTTCTGACACCCACTTCCACAAGCAAACTTCGGGTCTTTTTCAAGGTAAGGAACTGTATTTATTGCAGTCTTTATGTATTTCTTAATCATTTAGAACATACAGAACAATGCTACCCTTTTTACTTTCTTTTCTTTTGTGTATCACTGATCAAACATTTTAAAGTTATGCCCCTTGCCTCCTTTTCCCCATAAGTTCTGTGGTTTATATACTATGGATTTATGCATACTGCAGTGATTTAGATCACATATGTCACACTGTAACAGAACTGGCTCTATATTGTCACTTAATTTCTTGCAAAGGTGCAAAAGCAATTCCATGGAGAAAAAGCAGTCTTTTCAACAAATGGTACCAGAACAAGTAGGATAGAGATATAGAAAAATTCATCCTCATACCATAAATAATTAACTCAAAATGGATCGTAAACCATGTAAAACCTAAAACTATAAAATTTACAAAAAAGAAAATAGAAATTCTTTGTGATCTTGGGTTAGACAAGGATTTCTTAGATACATCAAAAGTATAATCCATAAAAGAAAAATAATGACAAACTGGACATCATCAAAATAAACAAAACTGTTCTTCAGAAAATGGTATTAAGAAAATGAAAAAGAAGCTACAGGAGGAAACGATGGAGCAAGATGGCAAAATAGAAGCCTATACCATTTGTAGCTTCTGCAGGAACACCAAAGTTTAACAACTCTCTGCACACAGAAAAGCACCATCACAAGAATCAAAAATCGGGTGAGTAATCACAGTACTTAGTTTTAACTTCATATTGCTGAAAGAGGCACTGAAGAGGGTAGAAGAGACAGTCATGAATCACTGATGACACCCCTTCCCCATGCCCCAGCAGCAGCCATGCAGTGAGGAGAGTCTTTGCAGATAGGGGAGGGAAAGCTCAGCAACTGGGGGGCTTTACATTGAATTCAGTGCTGCCCTGTTACAGCAGACAGCAAAGTCATGCTGGCCTCAGCCAGCACCCACATATGGAGGAAGCTTTTGTTATTTTTTTTAAGTTTTTTTTTTTTTTTTTTTTTTTTTTGAGACAGAGTCTTGCTCACTGCAACCTCCGCCTCTCGGGTTCAAGTGATTCTCCTGCCTCAGCCTCCTGAGTAGCTAGGATTACAGGCGCCCGCCACCACGGGCAGCTAATTTTTTTCGTGCTTTTAGTAGAGGCAGGGTTTCACCATGTTGGTCAGGCTGGTCTCGAACTCCTGACCTCAGATGATCCATCCACCTCGGTCTCCCAAAGTGCTGGGTTTATAGGCATGAGCCACTGCACCCGGCCAGAGGAAGCTTTTGGACAAGAACTAGACAGAAGGGAATTGCCTGTCCCAGTGGTCTAAATTTGAACTCCTCAGCAAGCCTCGCCATCTTGGGCCAAAGTGCTCTGGGGTCCTAGGTAAACTTAAAAGGCAGTCTAAGATGCAAACCCTGCAATTCCTAGGCAACTACTAGTGTTGAACTGGAATTAGAGCCAGTGGACTAGGGTGGCATGTGACCTAGGGAGATACCAGCCAGGGTGGCTAAGGGAGTACTTGTGCCACCATTCCCCCAACCCCAGACAGCACAGCAACAAAAGTGACTCCTTCCTTCTGCTTAAGGAGGAAGGAACAAAAAGTAAAGAGGACTTTGTCTTGCATCTTAGATATCAGCTCAGCCATAGTAGGACAGGACACTGGGCAGAGTTGTGAGGTTCCCATTCCAGGCCCTAGCTCATGGATGGTATTTCTAGACACATCCTGGGCCAAAAGGAAACCCACTGTCTTGAAGAGAAGAACCCAGTCCTGGCAGGATTCATTGCCTGCTGATTAACGAGCTCTTGGGCCATGAACAACCACCAGCAGCAATATACCCAGGTAGTACACCATGGGCCTTGGGCTCTGAGAAATGCTGGCTTCAGGTGTGATCCAACAAATTGAGAGCTGTGGTAGCTACAGAAAAAGATTCCTTCTGTTTGAGAAAAGCAGACAGAAAGGTAATGCACCTTAGGTACCAGCTCAGCCACAGTGGGGTAGGCCAATAAGCAGGCTCTTGAGGTCTCTTGAGTCTGAGCCTAGGCTCTTGGATATAATTTCTGGATCTGCCCTGGGGCATATGGGAGCCCAGTGCTCTGAAGAACGAGTTCCCAGCCTGGCAGCATTCACCACTTGTTGACTGAAGAGCCACTGGGCTTTAAGTGAACATTGCCAGTGGCCTGGCAGAACCCCTGCTATGGGCTGCTGGTGCTGATGGCTATAGGGAGAGGCCCTTCTCCCTGTGGAGAGGGGAGGGAAGTGCAACAAAGATTCTGGATTATGGTCTGAGTGCCAGCTTAGCTGCAGTAGAATAGAACTTCAGGTAAATTTCTAAGGTATTTGACTCTAATCCTTGGCTCCCAGACAGCATGCCTGGTCCTGCCCGGGGCCTGGGGGAACTCATTGCCCTGAAAGGAAGGACACAAACCTGTTTGGCCTTAACATCTGCTGACTGTAGAGCACTATGGCCTTGAGTGAAAATAGGTTTTACCCAGGTAGTAGTTATAGTGAGCCAAGGTCGAGACCCAGTGTTGTGCTGGCTTCCGGTTTGATTCAATGCAGTCTGTGTGGTGGCGGCCATAGGGGTGATTGCATAACCACATCCCCATTCCAGGTGGCTCAGCACAGAGATAGACTCCATTTGTTTGGGAGAAAATAATGGAAAAGAATGAGGTTCTCTGACTGGTAATACAGAGAATTCTTCCAGAATTTATCCAAGGCCACCAATGGGGTACCTCTAGGAGCCTATAAAACCACAGCATTATTGGGCTTGGGGTTCAACTCCCAGCGAATACCTGTACAGTCTTCTCAAGAAGGACAGGTACAAACAAGCCCGGAGTCCAAGACCAAATTAAAAATCTAACTCATCAATGCCCATACACTCCCAAGCATCTACAAGCAGCAAGACCATCCAGGAAAACATGACCTCACCAAATGAACTAAATAAGGAACCAGGAACCAATTCTGGAGAAACAGATAGATATGCAGGCTTTCAGATAGATAATTCAAAATAGCTCTGTTGAGGAAACTCAACGAAACTAAAGATAACGAAGAGAAGGAATTTATAATTCTATCAGATAACTTTAATAAAGAGATTAAAATAATTAAAAAGAATCAAGTAGAAATTCTAGAGTTGAAAAATGCAACTTGACATATCAAAGAATGCATGACAGTCTCTTAATAGAAGAACTGATCAAGGAGTGAAAATAATTTGTGAGCTTGAAGACAAGCTATTTGAAAATACACAGAGGAGACAAAATTAAAAAAAAAAAAGAATAAAGCATGGCTACAAGATCTAGAAAACAGCCAAAGAGGGGCAAGTCTAAGAGCTACTGGACTTGAATAGAAAGTAGACAGAGAAAGACGGATAAGAAGTGTATTCAAAGGGATAATATCAGAGAACTCCCCAAACCTAGAGAAAGAAATAAACATACAAGTGCAAGAAAGTTATAGAACATCCAACAGATTTAAACCAAAGAAGACTACCTCAAGGCATTTAATAATCAAACTCCAAAAGTTCATTGATAAAGTATCCTAAAAGCAGCAAGAGAAAATAAACAAATGACATAATGGAGCCCCAATACACCTGGCAGCATACTTTTCAGTGGAAACTTTACAGGTTAGGAGAGAGTGGCATGACATATTTAAAGTGCTGAAAAAAAATTACTTTATACTATTATAACTGGCAAAACATATTTTTCATGCATGATGGAGAAATAAAGATCTTCCCAGACAAACAATAACTGAGAGATTTCATCAACACCAGACCTGTCTTATAAGAAATGCTAAAGGGAGTTCTTCAATCTGAAAGAAAAGTATGTAATAAGCAAGAAGAAATCATCTGAAAGTACAAAACTCACTATAATAGTAAGCATAAAGAAAAATGCAGGGAATATTATTATGCTGTCATTGTGGGGTATAAATTCCTCTTAAGTAGAAAGACTAAATGATGAACCAATCAAATAATAACTACAAAAACTTTTCAAAACATAGTACAATAAGACATAAAGAGAAGCAATGAAAACTTGAAAAGTGGGGGGATGAATTCAAAGTGTAGTGTTTTTATCAGGTTTTTTTGCATGTTTGTTTGGACAATCAGTGTTAAGTTTTCATCAGTTTAAAATAAGAGGTATTAGATCATATTGGCAAGCCTCATGGTATTCTCAAACCGAAAAACATACAACAGATATGCAAAAAATAAAGAGAAAAAGGCTGGGTGTGGTGGATCATGCCTGTAATCACAGCACTTTGGGAGGCCGAGGCGGGCAGATCACAAGTTCAAGAGATTGAGACCATCCTGGCTAACACGGTGAAACCTGTCTCTACTAAAAATACCAAAAAATTAGCCAGGTGTGGTGGCAGGTGCCTGTAGTCCCAGCTACTTGGGAGGCTGAGGCAGGAGAATGGCGTGAACCCGGGAGGTGGAGCTTGCAGTGAGCCAAGATTGCACCACTTCACTCCAGCCTGGGCGACAGAGCAAGACTCCATCTCAAAAAATACATAAATAAATAAATAAAGAGAAAGAAACTAAATCACAGCACCACAGAAAATCACCTTCAGTAAAAGGAGGGCAGGGAGGAAGAAAACAAGGAAGAGAAGACCAGAAAACAACTAAAAAAATGGCATGAGTAAGTCCCGATTTATTAATAATAACATTTTATGTAAATGGACTAAACAATCAAAATACACAGACTGGATGAACCATGAAAAAACAAGAAACAATGATCTGTTGCCTACAGGAAACACACTTCACCCATAAAGATACATACAGACTGAAAATAAAGAAATGGGAAAAGATATTCCATGCCAATGGAAACCACAAAGGAGCAGGAGTAGTTATATCATACAAAATAGATTTGAAGGCAAAAATTATAAGAAGGGAAATGGAGGTCATTATATAATGATAAAGGGGTCAATCCTGCAAGAAGATAGAAAAATTATAAATATCTGTGGACCCAAAACTGGAGCAACCATATATACAGAGCAAATATTATTAGAGATAAAGAGGGATATAGAACTCAATACAGTAACAGCCGGTGACTTCAACACCCCACTTTCAGCATTGGACAGATCTCCCAGACAGAAAACTCAACAATGAAATATCGAACTTAATCTGCACCATAGAAAAAGTGGACCTAATAGATACTTACAGAACATTTCATCCAAAGGCTGCAGAATACACATTCTTCTCCTCAGCACATGGATCATTCTCAAGAATAGACCATATGTTAGATCACAAAACAAGTCTTAATATATTCAAAAATCTGAAATAATATCAAGCATCTTCTGTGATCACAACTGAATACAACTAGACGTCAACAACAAGAGGAATTTTGTAAACTATATAAACACATAGAAATAAAACAATATGTTCCTGAATGACCAGAGAGTCAATAAAAAAATTAAGAAAGAAATTTAAAAATTTCTTGAAATTAATGATAATAGAAATACAACATAAAAAATCCTATGGAATACAGTGAAAGCAGTACTAAGATGGAAATTTATAGCTGAAAGTGCTTACATCAAAAAAAAATTCAAATAACTTTATGATGTATCTTAAAGAACTAGAGAAGCAAGTGAATTGAACCCAAATTAGTCGGAGAAAAGAAGTAATAAATATCAGAGCAGAAATAAATGAATTTTAAATGAGGAAAATAATATAAAAGACCAATGAAATAAAAACTTGCTTTTTGAAAAAACAAACAAAATTGATAAACCATTAGCCAGACTATCAAAGAAAAACAGGGAGAAGACCCCAATAATTAAAATTAGAGATGAAAAAGGAAATATTACGACTGATACCACAGAAATTCAAAGGGTCATTAGTGGCTACTATGAGCAACTACATGCCAATAAATGGGAAAATCTAGAGAAAATGGACAAATTCCTTGTCACGTAAAACCTACCAAGAAATCCAAAACCTGAAGAGGCCAATAACAATTAGTAAGATCAACATCATAATAAAAAGTCTCCCAGTAATGAACTGCCCAGGGCCTGATGGCTTCAGTGCTACACTCCTCCAAACATTTAAAGAAGAATTAATACCAATCCTGTTCATAATATTCCAAAAAATAGAGCAGGAGGGAATACTCCCAAAGTCATTCTATGAGGCAAGTATTACCCTGATACCCAAACCAGACAAAGATAAGACAACAAAAAACTACAGGCCAATATCTCTGATGAATAATAATGCAAAAATCCTCAACAAGATACTAGCAAATTGAATTCAATAATACATTAAAAAGACTGTTCATCATGACCAAGTGAGATTTGTCCCAGGTATGCAAGGATGGTTCACCATATGCAAATCACTTAATATGACACATCATACCAACAAAAAGAAGGACAAAAACCACATGATGATTTCAACTGATGTTGAAAAAGCACCCAATGAAACTCAACATCTCTTCATGATAAAAAAAAAAACCCTCAGAAAATTGGGTATAGAAGGAACATGCTTCAACATAATCAAAGCCATATATGACACACCCACAGTTAGTATCATACTGAATTGGGAAAAACTGTCATCCTTTCCCCTGAGACCTGGAACACAATGAGGATGCCTGCTTTCACTACTGTTAATCAACATAGTACTGCAAGTCCTAACCAGAGCAATCAGACAAGAG
This sequence comes from Homo sapiens, assembly GCF_000001405.40. Classification (NCBI taxonomy): domain Eukaryota; kingdom Metazoa; phylum Chordata; class Mammalia; order Primates; family Hominidae; genus Homo; species Homo sapiens. Next base: position 84,127,989 of record NC_000023.11, read on the forward strand.
AAAGAAAAAGGGCATCCAAGTGAGAAAGGAAGAAGTCAAATTATCCTTTTTTACTGATGGTATTATCTTACATTTGGAAAAACCTAAAGACTCCTCCAAGAAACTATTAGAACTGACAAACTCAGCAAAGTTGCAGGATACAAAATGAACACACAAAAATCAGTAGCATTTCTACAGGCCGACAGAGAACAATCTGAAAATGAAATCCAGAAAGTGATGCCACTTACAATAGCTAAAAATAAAATCAAATACATAGTAATTAACCAAGAAGTAAAATATCTCTACAATGAAACTACAAAACACTGATAAAAAGAAATTAAAGACATGTAAAAAGGAATGTACTAAAATGAGGCAAGAAATTGAGAAAGACACACAAAAAATGGAAAGATATTCCAAGTTCATGAATTGAAAGAGTCAATATTGTTAAAATTGTCCATACTACCCAAAGCAATCTACAGATTAAACACAATACCTTTCAAAGTAGAATGAGATTCTACACAGAAATAGAAAAAAAAGTCCTAAAATTTATATGGATCCACAAAATACCCAGTATAGATAAAGCTACCTACACAAAAAGAACAAAACTGGAGGAATCACATTATCTAACTTCAAATTATACTACAAAGCTATAGTAACATGGTACTGTCATAAAAACAGAAACATAGAACAGGGAACAGAATAGAGAACCCAGAGATAAATCCATGTATCTACAGTAAATTCCTTTTTGACAAGGTGCCAAGAACATACATTGGGTAAAGGACGGTGTGTTCAATAAATGGTGCTAGGAAAACTGGATATGCATATACAGATGAATGAAACTACATCTCTAGCTCTTGCTATATACAAAAATAAAAACAAAATGGATTAAAAATTTACATCTGAGACCTTGAACAATAAAACTACTACAAGAAAACATTGGATAAACTTGCCAGCATATTGGACTGGGCAAAGATTTCTTAAGTAATAGCCCACAAGCACAGGTGATCAAAGCAAATATGGACAAACTGGATCACATCAAGTTAAAAAGCTTCTGCACGGCAAAGGAAACAATCAATAACATGAAGAGACAATTCACAGAATAAGGGAAAATATTTGCAAACTGCCCATCTGACAAGGGATTAGTAACAAGAATACATAAGGAGCTCAAACAACTCTACAGGAAAAAGTCTAATAATCCAATTAAAAAATGAGCACAAGATCTGAATAAAAAATCCTCAAAAGAAAGCATACAAATGGCAAACAGGCATATGAAAAGGTGCTCAACATCATTGATCACCAGAGAAATGCAAATCAAAACTACAATGAGATATAATTTCTCCCTAAAATGAGGCCTTTATTCAAAAGTCAGGCAATAAAAAAATGCTGCCAAGGATGGAGAGAAAAAGGAAACCTCATACGCTGTTGGTGAGAATGTAAATCAGCACAACCACTATGGAGAACAGTTTGGAGGTTCCTCAAAAAAAACTAAAAACAGAGCTACCATATGATCCATTAATCCCACTGCTGGGTACAAACCTAAAAGAAAGGAAATCAGTACAATGAAGAGATATCTGTACTCCCATGTTTGCTGCAGCACTGTTTTTAATAACCAAGATAAGAAAGCAATCTAAATGCCCATTGACAGACAAATGGATAAAGAAAATGTGGCACTTATACACAACAGAGTACTATTCATCCATAAAAAAGAGTAAGAACCTGTCATCTGCATTGTGAGTGGAACTGGAGGTCACTGTGTTAACTGAAATAAGCCAGGCACAGAAAAATAAACTTATGTTCTCACTTATTTATGGGAGATGAAAATTAAAATAATTGAACTCATGGAAATAGAGTAGAAGGATGGTTACTAGTGGCTGGGAAGGGTACGGGGGAAGGGACTTAGGGGATGAGGGATGGATAATGGGTGCAAAAAATAGTTAGAATAAATAAGACTTAATATTAGCTAGCACAACAGGGTGAGTATAGTCAAAAATAATTTAATTATACATTTTTAAATAACTAAATGCATATGATTGGATTGTTTGTAATATAAAGGATAAATGCTTGAGGTGATGTATATACCCCATTTACCCTGATGTGATTATTAGGCATTGCATGCCTGTATCAAAATATCTCATACAACACATAAATATATACACGTATGTACCCACAAAATTTAAATTTAAATTTTAAAAAATATAAAACATTCTAGGCTGAAAACCAAACAAACAATCCAATTTTTTAATGGGCAAAAGATCTGAATAGACACTTCTCAAAGAAATAAATATATGAAAATGTGCTTAGTGTCATTAGTTATTAGAAAAATACAAAATAAAACCATGATAATTCTACCTAATGCCTATTAGAATAGCTAAAATAAAAAATACTAACAATACAAAATGCTAGTGAGGATACAGATCCACTGGACATTGTGGGTGGGTATACAAAATATTACAACCACTTTGGAAATCAGTTTGAAGTTTTCTCACTTAGTTAAATATACTCAACATATGATCAACTAATCTCACTCCTTATGTATTTACTTAACTGAAATAAAAATTTATGGTAAAAAGAAAACCTATACATGAAGTTTTACAGTGGCTTTATTCATCATTGCCCAAAGCAGGAAATAACTCAAATGCCTCCTCATTGAGGAATGGATAAACAAATCATGGTACCACCATAAAATGAAACACTACTTAGCAATTTAAAAAAACACTCACTGATACAGCCAACAATATGGATGAATCTCAAATGCCCTATGCTAATTAAATGAAGCCAGTCTCAAAAGGCTGTATACTGTATGCCTCTGTTCATAATTACATTATGGAAAAAGCATATATACAGGAACAGAAAGCAGACTGGTAGTTGGCTTGGGGTAAAGGGAGGACTGACTTATAAGGGGAGAATTTGGGGGAGGAGGGTTATGGAACTGTTTCATATTTTTATTTTGGTGATAGTTACAAGGCTGTACGCATTTGTCAAAACTTACAGAACTATACATACAACAAAAGTGATTTTTAAAAATTAAACTTTATATTTTGAGATGATTGCAGATTCGCATGCTGTTACATGAAAAACTACAGGGATCCTGTTTATCCAGTGTTTCCCATGGTAAAATCTTGCAAAACTATAGTACTATAACCACAGCCAGGACACTGACATTGATGCAGTCAAGACACGGGATAGTCCCAACACCAAAAGACATCAGAAGGATGAGTTTTAATATATGTAAAGTATACTTTCATTTTAAAAATAAAAAAGTTTATAAGCCCTATATTGCTTGTTTACAATAAAATATCAACATTAACACTTAATTTGAGGTCCCCTCAAAACTGATTTTCTAACTATGCTCAACATTTTCATTTAAAAAAATCACTTATTCTTAGATAATAGCTTAATGTATTTTAACTTTTGGTATAATTTTTAAAAATCTTTTCACTGTGCCACTATGTTCTCTCTGTATACTGAAACTTGTAAACTCTGCACATTCCATTTACAAAAGTAAATATAATTAACATCTAGTCTTCGAGGTCAGTTCAGCTGAATATAACACAGCTTGTGGAGAAGAACACTAGTTTCTTTGGCCATTCCAGAGAGAAGGGGGGAGAGAAGAATTTTCTCATTCTTCTGTTACCTTTCAGAGATTTATGCCAATCCACAGAGTTCCTTTGCCGTACTATTTCTGACTAAACTGTTATTTAACAACTATAATTTGCTCAGCAATCAACTGACGAAAATTGTACAACTATAAAACTAGCTACAAGATTAGACAAGCCATATGTTATACAGTGGTTTTTCCAAATCACTAATTTGAAAATAAAAGAAAATGTACAATTCAACTACATAATGGAAGGGTTATTTTGGGGGGTAGGTTTGAGGGTCAGTGTTTCACATCTTTGTAATCTAAATGACTCTTTTCTAAGACTTTAAACTTTAAAAGCACACTCAGAATATAATAATTTGATGAATAGTTACTATAAATAAAAGCAATCTCAGTGATTAGTTTGCAAGTAACTATAAAAACTACATAGAATTATTTTCTCAAGTATACATTTTTCTCTTAAATACTCAGCTCAAGTACTGTGTGATTTACATCTCTGACCACTGTATATTTTTCTTCCCTCTCTTTGTAGAAGTTGCTTCTGAATTATGTCTCTCAGAAAACACATTATAGGCTGGGCACAGTGGCTCACACCTGTTACCCCAACACTTTGGGAAGCCGTGGCAGGATGATTGCTTGAGGCCAGGAGTTCAAGACCAGCCTGGGCAATATAGCAAGACTCCGTCGCCACACACACAAAAAATAGCTGGGTGTGGTGGCATGTTCCTGAAGTCCCAGCTACCCAGAAGGCTGGGGTGGGAGGATGGCTTGAGCCCAGGAGTTAAAGGCTGTGATAATAATAATAATTTAAAAAAAGGCTGTGATAAGATGTGATCCTGCCACTGCCCTCCAGCCTGGGTGACAGAGTAAGACTCTGTCTCTTAAAAAAAATAAAATTTAAAAAATGCAACAGATTATAGCAACCACAGTTCAAATAAATTCTGTATTCGAGCTGTACTTTTTAATGGGATATTATGATGAAATAATTTTTCTAAAGAGGCAAGTCATATTATAAAGTTATTTTTATATAAACTATACAAGGGATTTTATACAGACTATGAAAAGGATGCAGGATTTCAGGAAAAAAACTTAAGTTTTATAATATAATAATATATAATATAAATAATATATTAGCAAGGATGTAGATCTTTGGGAATATCCACTCTCATCCACTCTCATTCTACTGATCTGTTATAACAATCATAATCTCAGAACGAGGCCAATCAGACTCAAAGCACAGTTACAACAGGAAACTTTCTATAGTCCATTGTAATTTCAGAGTAGCCTGTCATTCCAGATACTAGGTCCATTCCTTATGTCTGGAGAATTTTTAAAGTGGACTAGTGAAAAAAAAAAAAGTATTGCCATTCTCCTGCAATTATTTTTGGAAAACAGAATGCTAGCAAACACCCTCCCTAGGAGAAAGAAAGCAAACAAGAAAAATTAAAGAGAAAGATAAAGAATATAAAATAAATCAAAAGAAACATTATAAAAGAACTCTTAAACCCATTTATGCCTAGTGTTCCATTATTGGAACGCTAAGCATGTGGGAGTTATTTATATTCTACTGCTCAAGGTCATCATCAAAGTCTGACTGCAAAAATTCAAAACATTGCAGCCTCAGGCATAAATGGGTTAAAATACTTGCTGTGAGTGGTCATACTTTAACCAACCTCATTGGAATGCTGTCGGGGTAAATCCATAAATGTAGTCATTATAAAACCTTGAATTAAGGTTATAATCATAAAACTGTAAATTATCTAATATTTATTATTGTACACATTCTTTAAAAGAAATGTTTGTGCCATTGCAAGGAAAATAAATTGAATTGTTAAAAAAAATTATAAATCACATTTCTTCCTGTTACATGCTTTGTGTCCCTTGCTTATAAATTAATATTGATCCTATCTATTCTTCCCTCCTCAGACAGTTTAAGTCTCTAAAATCTATCAAAAGCAGAATTAAAATGAGAACACTAAATACAAATAAACTTGGCATCATTATTTACGTAATTAACCTTAATGTAGAGAGAGAAAAATAGGTTTTTTTCTACTCTTTTTCCCACCTCTCTTTCTCACCTCTGACAAAAGAGGTATACTTTATTAAGCAAAAATGAAAAGAGGAATTAATTTTTAATTATCTTTTTAATTGCTATAAAATAAAATTTATGTATTATATAAAAATCTCAAAACTCTACTGTTCCCTACTGTTATTTTCCTTTCCTTTTTCTCTTTAAATATCTTCGAACCCACATCATTTCTTTTGTACATGAAAAAGATAATCAGGCTGTGAATCAATAAGAGTCACTAAACTTTATTTGAACTTTTTCATATTTATGTCAGCTTTTGAGGTAACTGTTTGATATTTTATTTTTGCATTGATGCAGTATACACAGGAATTTAAAGCAACTTACCTTTAAACTGTACCTATTTAAAATTATCTGTAAAGACTACATCTTCATCTTATCTCTGTTCAAGCATTCAAATAATAAAATACAGAATTTACTATCTATTGAAAACACATGTAACGTTTTTAGACTGGCTCGCTCAGCACAATGCCCTTGAGATTCATCCAAGTTGCTGGATGTCTCAACAGGTCTTTCCTTTTTACTGCTGAGTAGTATGTCATCATATGGAAGTATGACAATTTACATTTATCCATTCCCCTTCTGAAGGACATTTAGGTAATTTCCAGTCTTGGGCTATTACAAATAGAGTTGTTATGAACATTCATATACAGGCTTTTATGTGAACATAGGTTTTTATTTTTCTAGGATAAATGCTCAGTAGTGTGACTACTGTATGATTCTATTTCTATATCACTCTCAAAATAACAAAATTATAGAGATGTAGGACATATAAGTGGTTGCCAGGAGTTAGGGAAGGTGGAGGGAAGGTTGTCACTATATTTCAAATGTGATGACTACTTGTGATACATCTTTCTGTCTAGACTCAAACTAAGATGATGTATTGTTACCTAGAAAACGATCATTTCTTATTCAGGATAAGTGTATCTAATGTACAATTTTTTAATATTACAATTAGAACATATTGAGAGCAGTCTAACCATCAAGTAACATTTAATTCACTAAAGAGACAAATAAATTGCAAATCAAATTCAGAAAGAGAAAAAAACAGGCTTAGACAAATTTATATTAAAATAATAAAAAATATGAATCAAGTGGCTAAGGGTATAATAAGAAAATCTGCATACCTGTTAATTTGATATGTCCTATTTCATCAAGCAAAATGCTGTAAATCAAAATTCACATTCAACAAGATGGAATAAAATATTTTACATAAAACATTTACATAAAAATCATAAAACTAAGATAGGTCAGTATCTATTTAATATATGTAAAAAATTTAAATGATTAACTTAAAGTCAATGTACGTCTCACAAAGATTACTTTTTACAAATAAGTTTCATATAATTCATATAGAATTCCCTATAATATTTAAAAGATCTAACAGAGTTTGACAAAAAGCAGTTCCAGAAATACAGACAACATGAAAACAAAAGAATACAGCTTTACTTTTCTGGCTTCAGGTCTCTATAAACAATTCCTAATTGGTGCAGATGATCCAAAGCAAGGGCCAGTTCTGCGAGGTAGAATTTCACATCTTCCTCTGTAAACAGAACCTAGAACAAAATAATGATTTATCATTTGATCTTTCTTTCAATATTCAGTATATTTAAAAATACTTCTTTCAAAATGAGTAGACAGACAAATCTAGGAAAATAATAAGATAATAAGCACAGTCAATTCTTATTTGACTGGCATAATTATTGGCAATACCAGAGAAATAAGATTTCTATATAAATGAAACTAAACTCTTTAAGAATGTGTCTCTTCGATATTAACCATTTTAATGTAAATCTTTCTGAAATATTATGTTGTTTGTATATCTTCTCACACGAAATGCAAAGAACAAGATTCACCTTTTATAAAGTGACTTTGCCTCATAATACCAATATTAATTATAGTAATCTGCTATAATATAGTAACCCTTAGGGTATTTGAAATATAGAAGTTATTTTGTTTTAGCTCTGAGAATTCCACTATTTATACCATTCTCTCTTTTACTGTCTAGTATCATTTCTCAGAAATTTCACTTTTAGGGGCTCTACAAACCCAAAGCTTTTACTACACTGCCACAAGTTGTTAAATTAGTACCCTTATCTTACACACAATTGTGAACTCATCTCTGACCTAAGGGGTGGATCCAAGCCTCTTCTGTTAGTAATGTATACGAGTGTAATGGCACTGTATTAATCATTTTGTGTCTGGAAATACGGCTGCTATGATGAAGTGAAGAGTAATGAACTTGAAATCAGAATTGGCAGTGTAATATCAGACATGTCACTTAGCCCTTTGGGCCTCAGTTTCTAAATCTGTGAAACAGGACAATAATATCTGCTGTATATACCTAACAAGGTTGTCGTAAGAATCAAATCAGTTTATGTGGAAAAAAAGCTTTGTAAACTTTAAAAAACTATATATATAACCATATGGTACTATTATTATAGGTTTACATCTAAATTCATTCACTAGTGAGTATTCATTTACACATAGAACTGGACACTAATCAGCCATTAGATGTAATTTTTAAGGTTTAGCAAGAACTCCGGATTGGCAAAATCAAATATTTTTCTAAAAATGGGTTATTTTCATAAAGAAACCTCTGGATTATTAAGAAGGCTCAAAATTGCATAAAGTACATGTCATAATAGCTTACAACCTGCTTGCCCATTTAGAATTACGGCCACTGCATTTCACAATGCAGATCCAGGTTACTAGTAAAATTGCAGAGAATTAGTAGTTAATAACTTCTGATATGCTAACTACTTTTTAAAATGATGAATAGAAAAACAAAGATTGTTTATTATCTAAGTTTTGGGAGCATTAATTTGAATATTATAATGGTAAAAATATAAAAACATCACTTTCACTTGACTTTTTATTAAGAATAAAAATAACTGTTGCCTATTCAACTTCTAACCAAGGATAATAAGAATGTTCTCTGAAAGCTAATACGTAAGAAAACCCTAAATAAAAATTATTTAAAACTAAATTAGAAAAAAACTTTGCCTAGTTACAGTTATGCAAGCCTATCACCTTGTCATGAGGTTGTCTTGGTAGAAAGCCTCATGATAGATGCAAATAAAACATTACTAAGTAGCAATTATGTGCCAGGCACTGTACAATCATTATGTTATTATAGCTTCCAAACTCTATGAGGTAGGTATTAGGAACACCTTGCAAATGGAGAAAGAAACTCAGAGTGATTAAGTAACTTGTCCAAAATAACACAGCTAGTTAAGAAGGAGGCCCAAGACATGAACTCAGGGATACTTGTCCATAAGAATGAACTCTTTCCCAGAAGCCACTTCTGCCACATGCTGTGATGCAATGTTTGCTTTTCTAAAAACAAATTTTAGGTTTACTACCAATAATGCTTTCCAACCCACTAATCGTCCTACTCATAAATTGCCCCCCCTACAAAATGAAAATTATCCTAAACTCCAGTACTCTTGAGTAAAGCACTTTTAATATTTTGTCATCTGCTTTTCAAATTTTTTGTGCATATCTGTGTGTGAATGTGTCCATGTGTATTTTAATACAGTTGAAATCACACTACTGTATAAGTACTATTTAGTGACCTCATTTATCCCCAGTTAATACTATATCATAAGCATTCTATGTCTTTAAAACTTATTTATAAATAGTTTTCAATAGCTGCACAATATAACCATACCAATTTACTGTAATTTACCTAAACATTCCCCTTCTTGACATTTAGGTTATTTCCATTTTTTCTCTATTTGAAATAACTCTGCAATATGCATATGTACATCTTACTGATATTTATGATCATTTTCTCAAAATGAATTAAGAATTTTTTTTTAAAAATGGAATGCTGGGTCAAGGAGCATAAATAGTCCAAGATTCCTGACATACACGATAAAATTATTTTCCAAAAAGGTTATAGTAATTTCCACTCCCATCAGCAGTTTACGAAAGCATCTGTCTTACCACATCCTTGATAGCATGGAATATACCCTGTAAAAAGCCTTTTCAAATTTGATGTGTGAAAATGGCATTATTTTTTAAATTTAAGTTTTGATTTTTAGGCTGAACATTGTTATTCATGTTTAGTAGTCTTTCTACTTTTTTGTGAATTATCAGTAATGTTTGTGCCTATTTTCTATTACTGACTTACTGTTTTGTCAATTGGTACAAGTCACTTAAATGTTAAAAATGTCAGTTTTCTATCATATTAGCTGCAAATATTTATCCAATTTTGTGCTAGTTTTTGATGTTCAGTAATCCTTAATTTTTGCTAGTCAAATGTATGATGATTTCTGTATGATTTTTCCTTCATTATTTTAATGTTTAAGGAGACATTCTCCATCCAATGGTCAACAAAATATTTAGCTGCATTTTATTATAGGGTAATTGTTTTTCAAGATTTAGCTTTTTTATGTAAGTAAGATTTATTTTTGTATATGGTAGAGATGGCATTTTAAAATGATTTTTGGAAATATTTAAGCAATTTCTCAAATACTGTTTATTGAACAACCTCTTTGCCACAATTTGTGATTCTTCCTTTATCATAATGATATAGGGTAAGTAATCTATAACAGGATATTTTTGGGCTATACAGTATGTTTCCAATCTTGTGTTGATACTATAATGTTTTGCTTATGCACATTACCAAGTTTTAAACAAGAGAATTTGGGGAGGCCAACGCGTGAGGATCACTGGAGCCCAGGAGTTTGAGACCAGCCTAGGCAACATAGCAAGATCCCATCTCTACTGAAAAAAAAAAATAGCCTGGTATAGTGGCGCACGCTTCTGTAGTCCAAGCTATTCGGGAGGCGGAGGCATGAGGATTGCCTGAGCATGGGAGGTTGAGGCTGCAATGAGCCAGGATAGTGCCACTGCACTCCAGCCTGGGGACAGAGCAAGACCCTGTCTCAAAAAACAAACAAACAAAAATATTATTTCTTTGCATTTGTTTACTTTTCCAAGGAAACTATAAAATAATTCTGTCAACATCAAACAAACAAAAATCCCTATTGTGGCTTTATTTGGAATTTTGTTAAGCCAATAAATTAATTTTAGAAGAACTGACAGCTTTACAATAATCAGCCATTCATTCTACCACATTTTCTTGAATAAGGAAAATAGAGCACAGCTTAAGAGTTCTGTTTGTTTACCTGTGTATTTGTGTGTGTGTGTGTGTGTGTGTGTGTGTGTGTGTGTGTGTACATTCTGAGGAAGGGAAATTTGGGTAGGTATCTTTCCCTTTAAAATACAAATGACATACATTATAAAATTCTTTAAAACATACAAAAATGTATTTAAAAAGTCTTTTTCTAAGGTATAAAAACATGTCCTCATTTTGGATTAACAATTTTTTGTACACACAAGTGAAGTATAACCAACAAACATCTAATTATTAATAAGCTGTCTACAGAAGTAACCATTGAATCATTTTTTAAAAGGCTGCTCAATCAATGTACTAATTTATCATCTTTTGGGTAACGCATTTAAAATGCTTGCTCTTACCTAATATTCCAGACTTAGGAATCAAAACTTACTGACTGCATCTCTGTGCTAGTATGGGTTTAGATAGTCCCACATCGAGAATGGAGGTCTGAAGAGTTTAAAAGAAAATTAGAAATGACTACAAGAATTTCTCAAACATATTTGTGACACTTCTAAAATCTAACGCAAGAAATCATGAATAATGGAGCCTTATTATACTGTTGTCCTTCTATGCCTTGGTACCAGTTTTTAACAAGGTCCTTTAAAGACCCTCCTTAGAAGGGGGTCCTAGACAATCCTTTTCAGATATTGAATTATGTTCTATAGTTAATAATATACCAATAACACACCCTATGCTCACGCATGGCACATTCTACACTGGAGGTAGACAGATATAAGCCAGAGACCTTAGCCACTTAAGCACTGGCTAGCATACCAGAAACACACTGTTCCTTTATCACAGCAAGTTCCAGAGCTCTGGGAATCAACAGTAGCTCTCCCACATTCTACACTGTAAATTCTGGAAGTAAGACATTGAACTACTATCACCCAATTAAAATGCTACTCCCAGACTACTACTTAAAGAAAAATGAAGCAGACAAAGACAGGATTTAATCTCATGCCTGAAAAATCTAAAACACAGGACAAAACGTATGAAATGATACTTTTAAGACATTGGACATCAGGCAACAAAGGACACTGAATACTGAGAGACAGGGGACAAATGACGTATGCCCCACAACTGCCTTAGCTTACTACCTGGAAAGAGTTTCCAAGTGGTAGTACAGGGAGGGCTAAGTCAGGTGGAGCCTGAAAGACTTCCTGAGTAGATAAGCCAGAACAGAGAGTCTTAGAGAAGGAGGACAAAATTCACAGGATGGAGTATTAGAGAAGAGAAAATTGCACAAAGAGAACTCTGTAGATATGCAGACAGTCTCCTTCAAGTATTCAGTGGAGAAATACTCAGCACATATGAGTGAGGACATTACCCTAAACCAGGAAAACAACGAAGGGTTAGAGGAACCAGTCGATGAACTCACGATGGGCCAGGAATAGTTCCTGTTGCCTTCAGCCAGAGCAGAAAATCTCATAATTCATAGGACATCAGATAAAGTAATCAGAAGGATTTTGCTTCAGTAGTGGAGCAAAATTAACCCGACTGAAAGCTGTGTTAGTCCAATCTAACGAACTTTAAAAGACCTATAATAATCAAACTAGTTTTATATCTCAGAACAGAGATCAATAATAGTTACAGAAATACAAAAATGTTCATCACCTTAACAAGCTAAATGTCACAATGTCTGCCATCTAATAAAAAATTGTCAATCATGGGCCAGGCACTGGGGCTCATGCCTGTAATCCCAGCATTTTGGGAGGCCAAGGCAGGCAGATCACTTGAGGTCAGGAGCTTGAGACCAGCCTAGCCAACATGGTGAAACCCCATCTCTACTAAAAATACAAGAATTAGCCGGGCTAACTGTGCACCTGTAGTCCCAGCTATGCAGGAGGCTGAGGCAGGAGAATCACTTGAACCCGGGAGGCAGAGGTTGCAGTGAGCTGAGATCACGCTACTGCACTCCAGCCGGGGCAATAGACTGAGACTCCATCTCAAAAAAAAAAAAAAAAAAAACATACATATATATATATATAGTCAAACATGGATCTGAGGAAACTACCCAAGCCCAAGCCCAGGAAAAGAAAAACCTTAAAAGATTAAAAGAAAGAACCCACTCAGCTCACAAAGGACTGAGATAGCTCCTCTTCCCAAAAGTTAGAATGAAAAGCCTCATAATTCAAAGAGTCTTTGTTAGAGTATAAGAAAGGACATGCTTCATACTGAGGAAAAATTAATCTTAAACTAAATACTTCCCTAGTCCCACATGACAAAGCTTAAACACAAGGCCCAAAATGATCAAAGTGTTTACAAGAAAATGAACTGCATCCTAGAAAAAAGCTAAATACTATTTATATGAAAATAAAGGTATCTAGCATGTAAGAAAATTAAATCCACCATGCCTGCTATCCAGTAAAAATGACTATGCAAGTATGATTCCATTGAAGTACAAAATAAGGCACAGACAATACTTAAACAAATGAGTATGTCTGTGTTCCAATAAAACTTTATTTACAAAGAAAAATAACTGGCCAAATTTAGCCTGAAGACCATATTTTCCTGACCTCTGAGTTAAAACTTATACTACAAATCCTAAGGTAACTATTAAATTACACAACAAAGTGTTATGGATAATATCTACAAGACAACAGCAGAGATAAAAATGAAATTGTAAAAAAAAAAAAAGTAATTAAAAAGAAGCCAGGAGAAGAGGGAAACAAGAACAAAGAACAAATGGGACCAAAAAAAATCCCAAATAGCAAGATAGTAGATTTAAATAGAACTACAAAAATAATCATATTAAATGTAACAGGTCTAATATCCCAATTAAAAGACGTGGACTCTCAGATTGGATTAAAAAACAAGGAAACTATGCTTCCTTAAGTACCACACATTAAAATATAAAGACACACATAGGCTGAAGTTAAAATATGGAAAAAGATATACCAAACTAACACTACTTTTTTAGAAAATAGTTGGTGTGACCATGTTAGTATCAAATAAGATTTTGAAGAAAAGAACATTACCAGGGATAAAGTCAGTCATGTCATATCATAACGATGAAGGGGTCTATTCATCAAGAGGGAATAATAAACCTAAAGGTTTATGTACCTAATAACAGAACTTTGAAATATATGAAACAAAAACTAACAGAAATTCAAGAAGAAATATACAAATTCATAATTAAAGTAAAAAGGTGTCAATCCTTGTCTCAAAAATTTGTAGAATAGGCAGAAAATTAGAAAGAATATAGGCAATTTAATATCACTATCAAACAACTTGATCCAGTCCACATTTATAGAACCTTCCACCACCCAAAAATAGCAGAATACACATTCTTCTCAAGTGGACATGGAACATTTACCAAGATACACGACATTCTGAAGCATAAAGCAAATATAAGTTTAAAAGAATTAAAGTCATACAAAGTATGCTTTATGACCACAAGAACATTACAGTAGAAATCAACAATAGAAAGATATGTGAAAGAATGCCCAAATATTTGTAAATTAAGCAGACTTCTAAATATCAATGGGTCAAAGAAATAGAAAGGAAATCATAAAGTACACTGAACTGAGAGAAAATAAAAATGATGCATATCAAAACTTGTGAGATGACCCTAAAGCAGTATTCAGAGGGGAATTTATAACACTAAACACCTACATTATTAGAAAAGAAAGGCCTCAAATCAATAACTTCAGCTCCCATCTTAAAAACCAGAAAAAGAAAAGCTAATACATAAAATAAGCAGTAAAAAAGATTAAAGCAGAAAACAATGTAATAGAACAGAAATAGAATACAGAAAAATCAATGAAACCAAAAGCTGTTTCTTTGAGAGTAATAAAATTGATAAATCTCTAGTGAAGCTAAGCAGAACAAAAACAGAGCAAACATGAATTACCAACATCAAAAGTGAGAGCAGTGACATCACTAACAATTCCACAACTACAAAAAGGACAATAAGGGAATATTATGAACATTTTTATGCCAATAAATTTCATAACTTTGATGAAATAGACAAATTCCTTAAAAGACACAAGTTAGCAAAGCTCACTCAAAAATAAATAACCCAAGTCTATTACATAAATTGATTTTGGAGTTAAATACTTTCCTATAAGAAAAACTTCAGGTTCAGATGCCTTCACTGGTGAATTCTATCAATCATTTAAGGGCAATTTATCATTGAATCTACATAAACTTTCCCAGAAAGTTAAAGAGGCAAAAACTACACCCAACTCATTCTATGGAGTCAGAATTACTCTAATACCAAAAATAGACATAATAATACAAGAAAATCATAAATATCCCTCATAAAAATAGATGCAAAAATTCTTAAATATTCAGCAAATATCGTCCAACAATTTATAAAAAGGGTAATACATCAAGACTAAGTGGGGTTCATCCATAAATGCAAGGTTGGTTCAACATCTGACTATCAATCGATGTAATTCACCACAGTAAGACTAAAAAAAATTATAATCTCAATAAATGAAGAAAAAGCATTTGAATAAATCTGAAATTGATTCCTGATTTTTTATAAAACTCTCAAAAATAGTTACAGAAAACTTTCTCAACCTTTGAAATCTATTTCTAAAAGCTGCTAGAAGTATTAAGTTTGGCTAGACTGTGGGAAACAAGCTCAATACACAAAAAATCGGTTGTGTTTCCATCCAATTTAAAATTGAAATTAGGAAGTCAATTCTATTTACAATAACATTAAAAACAGGATTTACTTAGAGGTAAATCTGACAAAAGAATTGCAAGAATTACACTGAAAACAATACTGCGAGAAATTAAAGATGACCTAAATAAATTGAGAAAGATACCACGTTCATCAATTAAAAGACTCAATATTACTAAAATGTAACTTATCTGCAAATTGACCTATACATTCAATAAAATTCCAACCAATATCCCAGCAGGACATTTTTGTACAAAGTGAAAAGCCGATTTTAAAATTGATATGGAAATGCAAAGGACCTAGAAGAGCCAAACTTTCAAAAAGAAAAGCAAAGCTCAAGGACTCGCACTGCCTCACTTCAAGACATATTATAAAGGTACAGTAATTCAGACAGTGTGGTATTGTCATAAAGATAGACAAATGGATCAATGAACAGAACAGAGTATCCAGAAATAGGCCTTCATATATATGATCAACTGGTTTTCAAGAAAAATGTAAGGTAATTCAGTGAAGAAAAGACAGACTTTTCCAATAATGATGCTATAACAACTGGCTATCTATGTGAACAAATGAAAAGGACTTCTGCACATACCTGTAACCATATACTAAAATGAACTCAAAACGGATCCTAAATCTAGATGTAAAATGCAAACTACAAAACCTCTAGAAAACATAAGAGAAAATCTTTAGCTGTGATTAGGCAGATATGCCTTACAAAGGACACTAAAAACACAATTAATAAAGGGAAAAAATCCTATAAATCAGACTTCACCAAAATTAAGAACTTCTGCTTTTCAATACACTGTTAAGAGAATGAAAAGACAAACTATAGACCAGAAGAAAATATTTCCAAATAACATATATGATCAAGGACTTACATCCAAAATATATGAAGAACTCTCAAAACTCAATAAGAAAACAAACAATCCAATAAAAAAAAACAGGCTAAAAATTTAAACAGACATTTTACCAAGAGGATAGATGGCAAATGAGCTCATGAAAAGATGCTCAATGTCATTAGTCATTAGTGTGATGTAATTCAAAACCACAATGGGATACCACTAAAAACTAATCTAATGTTCAAAAATTTTAAAAGACTGACCATACCAAATGTTGGCAAGGATGTGGAGCAACTGAAACTCTCTTACGCTGCTGGTGGGAATGTAAAATTTATATAATCACTTTGGAAAACAGTTTGGCAGTGTCTTTAAAAGTTAAACATATACCTAGCACATGACCCAGTCATTATACTCTTAGGTATTTACCCATGAGAAACGAAAACATATGATACAATCACTTGTACATGAATGTTTATAGCAGTTTTATTAGTAATATCAAAAACTGCAATGACCCAAAAATCCATCAACAAGTGAATGATAAACAAATCATGATGTATCCATACAATCAGTAATACTACCCATCAATAAAAATGAATAAACTATTAGTACATACAACATAGATGAATCTCAAAGTACTTATGTTAAGCCAGACAAAAAAAATGAATATACTATATGATTCCATTTATATAAACTCCTAGAAAGTACAAACCAAATAGTGACAGAAAGCAGATTCAGTAGGGTTAGGGCAGGAGGACGGCATCACAAAGGGACACAAGAAAACTTTCGGGAATGACAGATATGCTAATTATTCTTATTGTAATGATGGTTTCACAGTTATATACAAATGTAAAAACTTATGAAATTGTATACTTTAGTATGTACAGTTTATTGTATGTCAATTATACCTCCATAAAGCTATTTTAAAATGAATAAACACTACTCCCAGAGGTGTTTAGGTAGCTTGAGTAGCCAAAGTCCTAGGCTTGCCCGTATCTACTTTATCCAGTTATTCATATTGTTCTTTTGCCTAAGAAAATAATGAGTAGCACATTGAGATGATAGAAAATGCCATTAACAGGCACATTACCAAATACTATGCAATGAAACAGAGTAGTTACCATTTAAAATTTCAATAGGAAAAATGTAATTAGCAGAAGAACAAAAGTGATTTTTCTTAGTTTTGTTTTAAGAAAATACAGTAAAAATGTACAGATACTTACCTCTTTGGATAATCTTGTGAAAACATCTCCTCCCCTGAGAAAATCCAGTATTAAGTACAGTTTCCCTTCAGTCTGAAAGGCTAATTAAAAATTAGAATATAGTAACAGGATAATCTCAAAGGCTTAAAAAGCTTAGTATGCTTTTAAATTAATATATGTTTAGAATTTTACAGTATTTACTCACATGGTTCATTAATGGATAACATCTCAAAATTAAACCCAGTGTTTAATCCAGTGTAGAAATAGCTATAAACCCCTTCCCAGAACATAATCACCCTTGAATGTGGCTTTACACAGAACTTCTACCACCAAAAATTTCCTAATTTATGAAGCATGTTATACTGCAATTGCCTAAACTTAGCCTATCAAACCTACTGAAAATCTACAAATTCTATAAAGCTGAAGAAAAATGCCACTTCCTCTATTAAACTTTCCAGGATTTCCCCCTTTTCACATTTTTCAACAGCTTCCTCAACCTCTTCTTTATTGAAATTACTTGCTGCTACTTTTCAGATCTTATTATATTTATACCTCCTTAATAGTACTTATTCCATTTTGATTTATGCAATTAATTTCTTTACATCTCTGTGTTCTCTATAGGTTATAAATTTCTTGAGGTCAAAAAGTGTTTCACTTCTATAGCCCACTGAATTTAATACAGTATTTTTGCACACAATAAGTGTTTACTGATGGACCTACTACAGACACGGGAAGGTCTTTAGATGTTACTTTTTTTATTCTGTTAGTATAACAAGGAGTAAAAGAATAATGGGTGGAAATTTCTTATGGGATTTTAATAGTGATAACTGGGTATATATTTTAATGTATTATTTGTCAAAATTACACTAAGAATAAAATCAACAGCTGCTACTTTTTTAAATATAGAAAAATGGAAGTGACAAAGTACACTATATCAGAGGTAGATAGACGATAGATAAATAGATAGAGTTGATCTCAACCATATGTTAAATTAGCAATGGAGCCATGATTCAAATTCAGAAATGTCTAACTCCAAAGCTCATGTTCTTTCCATTACATCTACTGCTTCTTACTGGTAGTCCTCTCCCATTAAGTATAAAAAAATAACTCAAGTAGACTAACATAACTACATGGTCCTCTGGAATATAACCAGGAAACAGATAAGTGTGGTCATTATGAACAAGCAACTGAATGTTTTACGTAAATTATCACAATAGTTTATAGTCTAAGATTATGAAGTTACAGCCTAGCAAAGTACATAAATACTACCAGACAGGTAAGTGAAAAACACTATCTTGTTACTTTAAACAAGTTAATCAACTTAGAAAAATGAAGGACATATAACTAATAACTAAATACTGATATTTATTTCAGACAAATACATTTTACGTAGCTGAATATACTAAGTCTAAAGTATTTATTTCCTGTTATAGTATTGTGTGAAAGGAAATCATAATTCTCTAATTCCATATTAATAAATAAGGATTAAAATAAATAAAAGAATAAAAAAAGATTACATACCATAGTGCAATTTGACAATAAATGGATGATTTACTTCCACCAGTATATCCCTCTCCATCTTTGTCCGAACTCTGTCTCGAACTAAAAATTACATAAAGGTACAATATATTGCTCTCTTACATCATTTCAGTTAAGAGTCCATCAATAATTTACCAAACAACAAATATAAAAATACAAAACGTAACTTCCTAAATGCCGAAATTTGCAGTTTTCATATTCCTAGATAATGACCATATTCTCAGAAAGCAAAAATATTCATTACATCTAGAGACAGGTTAAGGTGGCATAAACAGGTATGTAGCTAATATGCATTTATTATGTGTTCATCTTTTGTTGTTGTTGTTGTTGAGACAGGGTATTGCTCTCTTGTCCAGGCTGGACTGCAGCGGCACAATCTCAGCTCACTGCAACCTCCACCTCCCAGGCTCAAACAATCCTCCCATCTCAGCTTCCCGAGCAGCTGGAACTATAGGTGCATGCCACTACACCTGGCTCATTTTTGTAATTTTTGTAGAGACAGGGTTTCACCAGGTTACTCAGGCTGGTCTTGAACTCCTGGGCTGGGCTCAAGGGTTCAGCCCACCTCAGCCTCTCAAACTGCTGGGATTATAGGTGTGAGCCACCATGCCCGGCCTATTAATCTCTTTTAATTGTTCAAATGAGTTTACTGATTAAAACTGATCATAAGCGGTATTTTTATCACACCCTAAAAGATAGTGTGTGCAAATGGTTGTGCTTTCTCAATATGTAATACTGACACAGATAGAAAAGGAAAAACCAAGAATCTTGAAAGAAGAGAATATATCCTAATTAAGTTAATAAGTTTAAATTAAATGAAATATGTCACTTTTTCTAGCATCAAATTTTTACGGGGGTGCACTCTCACTAAGTTAAGGCATATGCCAATATCAAATCTAGTAATATTACCTACAGGTTAGAAAAACTGCCACAAATACCAATGTTAAAAATAGCTACATCTATTCACCTTATGCAAGTAATACACAGCATATTTCTTAAACTACACTTTGTCAAATTCTATTTTAATAAACTTTCTAATTTTCTACCTTTTAAAGAGGCTTTTTTTAACACCTTCATTGCATAGAGCTGCCCAGCATCAGGACCGGTCTTCTTTCTAACAAGAAAAACCTAATAGAAAATTGAACAAAAAAAAAAAGGAAAATTCACATTTCTAGTCATTCTTGCTCTACACAAACACACCAGCATACACTTATATCCTTGCATTTTCTCTAATTTTATAAACATATGCCTTCCCATAGAGGGAAGGGAGAGATAGTGAGAGATTTGTTGAAGGATGCAAAATTACCCTGATCTGATCCCCATACATTATACGTATTGAAACTTCACTATGTACCCCACGAATATGTACAACTATTTGTCAATTTAAAAAAATAAATGAAAAAAGTTATACCTTCTCCTATAAATTATTCTATAATTTACATTATTATTTTCTCACTTTTCTTAGATTTAATTTAGTTTTTAATCAAAAAAACTGTTATGATTTAATAAATCATAATGCATATAAATACTACTATAGAAAGGAAAATTTTTAAAATAGATGACCTGGTACTGAACTTTGAGAATTTTGTGATGTAAGAGATAAATAACATAATGAAAGACAAACTTGAGCTACATACCTCCTTTTAAGACCCAGGCCCACTTTTTGTTACCTTAATAAAGAGCAAACAAATATTATGACCCTATATACCTTAATTAAATATGCTTTATTGCTAAAAAATGCTAATGATCATCTGAGTCTTCAGTGAGATATAATCTTATTGCTGGTGGAGGGTCTTGCCTCAATGTTGATGGCTGCTGAGTGATCAGGGTGGTGGCTGCTGAAGGTTAGGGTGGCTGTGGCAATTTCCTAAAATAAGACAATGATGAAGTTTGTTGCACAGATTGACTTCCTTTCATGAAATAATTTTCTATAGAATTTGATGGTGTTTGATAGCATTTTATACACAGTAGAATCTCTTTCAAAAGTGAACTCAGTCCTCTCAAATCCTACCGCTTTATTAAAGAAGTCTACGTAATATTCTAAAGCCTTTACTGTCATTTCAACAATGTTCATAGCATCTTCACCAGAAGTAGATTTCACCTCAAAAAAACTATTTTCTTTGCTCATCCACAAGGAGCAACTCCTCATCCATTCAAGTTTTATCATGAGACTGCAGCACTTCCGTCACATCTTTAGTTCCACTTCTAATTGTCTTGCTATTTCCACCACATTTTCAGTGATTTCCTCCAATGATGTCTTGAGCCCCTCCAAGTCATCCATAAGGGTTGGAATCAACTTCTTCCAAACTCCTGTTAATGTTGATATTTTGACTTCCTCCCATGAATCACAAATGTTCTTAATGACATCTAGAATAGCAAGTCCTTTCCAGAGGTTTTCAATTTGCTTTGCCCAGATTCATCAGAGCAATCACCATCTACAGCAACTATAGCCTTACAAAATGTATTTCTTAAATAATAGGGCTTGAAAGTCAAAATTATTCTTTGTTTCATGGGCTGCAGAATGGATACTGTAATAGCAAGCATGAAAACAACATTAATCTCCTTGTACATCTCTATCAGGGCTCTTGGGTAACTAGGAGTATTGCCAATGAGCAGTAATATTTTGAGAAATGTCTTTTTTTTTCCCTGAACAGTAGGTCTCAACAGTGGGCTTAAAATACTTAGCACACCATGCTATAAACAGATGTGCTGTCATTCAGGCTTTGTTCTATTTATAGAGCATAGGCATAGTAGATTTAACATAATTTTTAAAGGCCCTAGAATTTTTGGAATGGCAAATGAGCATTGGCTTCAACTTAAAAGTTCCAGGATCACTAGCTTCTATCAAGAGAGTCAGCCTGTCCTTCCAAGCTATGAAGCTAGGCGCTGACTTCGCTCTAGCTATGAAAGGCTAGATGGCATCTTCTTCCAACAGAAGGCTGTTTCTTCTACAATTAAAACCTGTTGCTTAGTGTAACCACCTTCAAGAGTTACTTTAGCTAGATCTTCTGACTAACCTGCTACAGCTTTTACATCAGCATCTGTAGCATTACCTTACACTTTTATGTTACGAAAATGGCTTCTTTCCTTTTTCTCTTCATGAGCCAACCCCTGCTGGCTTCAAACTTTTCTTGTGCAGCTTCCTCACCTCTCTCAGCCTTCACAGAATTAAAGAGAGCTAGGGAATTGCTCT
Organism: Homo sapiens; assembly: GCF_000001405.40. Classification (NCBI taxonomy): domain Eukaryota; kingdom Metazoa; phylum Chordata; class Mammalia; order Primates; family Hominidae; genus Homo; species Homo sapiens. The sequence goes on from NC_000023.11 coordinate 84,150,189, forward strand.
AGATTAGGCTTTGGCTAGAGGGAGTGTTGTGGCTGCTTTGATCTTCTATTTAGACCACTAAAACTTTCTCCATATCAGTAATAAGGCTGTTTCACTTTCTTCTTATTTATATGTTCACTGGAGTAGCAATTTTAATTTCTTTCAAGAACATTCCTTTGCATTCACAACTTGGCTGTTTGGCACAAGAACCTTAGCTTTTAGCCTACCTCAGATTTTGACATGCCTTCCTCACCAAGCTTAATAATTTGTAGCTTTTGATTTAAAGTGACAAATGCAGAACACTTCCTTTCCCTTGAACACTCCAAGGCCACTATAGAGTTATTACTTAGACCAATTTCAATATTCTTGCAGGTCAGGGAATAGAGGGGCCCAAGGAGACAGAGAGAGATGGGGAAACAGCTGGTCAGTAAAATAGCCAGAACACACACACCAGTTATCAATGAAGCTCACTGTCTTATGTGTGCGTGGTTCATGGCACCCCGAAACAATGACAACACTAACATCAAAGATCACAGACCACAAAGAACCATAACAGATATAACAGTAAGGAAAACATTTGAAACACTGCAAGAATTACCAAAATATGAGACACGGACTATATAGAGAATATATAGAGAGGATATATATAGGATATATATATAGAGAGGATATATATAGGATATATATATATAGAGGATATATATAGGATATATATATATAGAGGATATATATAGGATATATAGAGAGGATATATATAGGATATATATATAGAGGATATATATAGGATATATATATAGAGGATATATATAGGATATATATATAGAGGATATATATAGAGAGGATATATAGAGAGAGGATATATAGAGAGGATATATATATAGAGGATAGATATATAGAGGATAGATATATAGAGGATAGATATATAGAGGATAGATATATATAGATATATATAGGATATATATAGATATATAGGATATATAGATATATATAGGATATATAGATATATATATAGCTATATAGGATATATAGAGATATAGATATATAGGATATATATAGATATAGATATATAGGATATATATAGATATATATATATACACACACACATATACATATATATACACACATACATATCTGTGAAGCGCAATGAAGTGAAGGATATCTGTGAAGTGCAATGAAGGGAAGCATAATAAAAATAAGTATAGCTGCATCAAGAAAATGACGTCAATGTGGCAAATATACATTTGCCTAAATTCAATTATTTGCTGGAAAGCTCAGATTCTACCATTGACAAAAAGAGTATCAGTTGTTTTTCTATGAACAGGCTCACTCCATTCATTTTTGAGAAAACACCTACGAAATAAGCATATTTAGGTAACCATAGTTTATTGTCCTTTCAAGGAAAAGTGGTGATCCATAAAAACAGTGGTTGGTTCAGCTCACAACTCAAAAAATTTGCACAAGTCCTCTGCCTTGAGACAACCATTCTATTTTGTTACGTGGCTAAGGGGCTTCACATGTACTTCCTATTTCATCGCATATTATTCAAAAGAAGGGTATTCAAGGATTGAGATTTAATAAATGTAATAATTGTTAATGTCTCATCAAGGACATTCTTAAACTGCATATGTAATAAAATGAAGACTACAATGACTACTGGTACCATTTGAAGTCACTGCCTTGATTGGCCAACATGCCAGCAGTTGTACAAACAATATCTTAGGATGACTGTGAAGTAGTTTTGACTTGAGGACTCCCTGAAAAGTCTTGGGATTGTCCAGGGGTACGGAGACCACAATTTCAGAACCACTCTTACAAAACATAGCCCTTAGTGGGATTGTAAAGAACGGAATATGAAGAGTGAGAAGAGGCAAGCAAGGAAGAAAGAAAGAGTCTAGGCTTTCTGAAGACACTGTTGCATAAAGGAGCCACTTTTTTCCCCTAGTTCTTCTAATATTCAGTAGTATCCCAATATGGCATTTAATAGGATCCATCATTCGCAGTCTAGAGAAGTAACCTGTTTAACACCTGATCTGTTTTTTCTTTTTTTTCAGGTCTTATGAGTGACTTTCCTAGCATGAGAAAATATCGTATCTCACTGCCCCCTTCCCAAAATCAACTACAAAAGTAGTTCTTTTTCCATCCCATTCTTGTCTATTGCCTAACATTTCTCAACCTTCCCAAGGCTATGTTTATTGATTTTTACTATTATAATGTCCTTCTTTGTCATCTGAAACTCTCCCTCCTCCTTCCACCTCACTTTCTTCAGGTTCTGCACCATTCCAAAAGCTTGACAGTAGTAACAACCTAACTTGAAATAAGGTGACAATGTACTTATCTGTGATCTATTTCTTTTTTCCTAAATCATCCTTGAAAAATTTCCCTATCCTGGTATAATAAAGTTGTGCTATATCACCTTATCTTCCCATATATGTACTCATTAGTTATTCAATCAACAAATTAACAGTCATTAAGCACATATTCTGTATCAGACACTGTGCTGGACACTGGGGGATACAGAAATAAACTGTGAACTTGAGGACAGAGAAATTTGTCAGAAACATCATGCCCTTTAAAGAAATAGATACAAGTACGCCATGGACTAAATTATGTCCCCTCAAAGTTAATATGTTAAAGTCCTAACTCCCAGTACCTTGGAACATGACTGTATTTGAGGATAGGGTGCTTAAAGAAATAATTAAAGTAAAAAAGTTGTTGCATGGCTTCAAACTAGTGGACCTAAAAACGTATCTATATTGATAAGAGGCTTCTTTTCAGTCACCCTAATCCAATCATGGGAAATTGTCCAAAAGAATGGGTGAGTTACTCCAATATAATTTTCTCTCAATCACATGGACGTTTATATTTTCCTATAAGAATATTCAGTAACTGCAGTGAACTAGAAGATCACACATATTTAAATGCTGTTTGAAGAGAAAGAACCAACTTCAGGAAATTTTAAGATGTAAGCATATGTTTTTAAAAACTATCACTTGAGAGTTGATCACTTATTTAAGAGTACAAGTATTCGATATTTTCAAAAATTCATTTTTAAGTCCTGTACTTAAAGTCTTTACTATCACAAAAGCAAAAGTATTTTTTTATAATCCACAAATATTAAAATGTATGTTTTATATAAATATTATTTGGCACATGATATATAAGGACGACTAATCAGACAATTTCAAAGGTATTTTCATGTGTTTGTGTTTTAAAATAATTAATGTAAGTTGTTTAGTATACCTTTCAACCCATACATTAATGATCATTAATAGCATTATACTTGGTGTGCTTAGGACAGAATTGTATATGCACCTTTCATGATAATAATGCATGCTTCCTTAAACTACAATTTTAAGTTGACTTTAGCAGGGTTCCCCCACTGTTAAATAGACAATAAAAACATTTAATGTTATAAGGCTTTATATGGGCTAAAATCCCATTTACTGCATTTTAACAATGGAACTTTTGAAGAAAAACTTAAGACTCTGCAGCTCAAAGTCTCTTGGAATTGCTCCTACACTTATCTGATTCACAGCCTTGGCCAAATTCCTGAATAGGTTCAGCATATAACAAGTCACACCTACACAATGCCTCCGCAAATGATGTAACACTGACAAGCAAGTATGTTCATATCCTAGGGGGAAAAAAAAGCCACCTCCTTAATATTTCTTTGGTTGATGAACTACATAAAGATCACTATTTTGTACTTTAATATTAGGAATTAAAAGGTTTCAATGATATTCTTCTTAAAACTAAATCCCAGCACAGACAAAGCTAAGATTTCCCTGAATTTAAGCACTACATTGACAACTTTTCATCATGTTGCTATATTTAACATGATGTTATTGAATATATTTCATTATGTTATACAGTATTTTCTTTAAGAAAACCCATGAGAGAAATTTCTCTGGTCTGTTTAATCCGTTTCCACCTTTAAAATACTGTCAATTATAATACACTCAAATATATTAGCTTCTTTATAATGGCTGCTAGAAAACTTAAGTCTAATTTTTGACCTACTAGAAAAGGACTTACAGACCCTTATGTCATGCTTTTGTGAACAGAGTGTACTCCTGGCTTCATCTAATCTTTCCTGCTCTGAGCTTTCTGTTTCCATCATCTTCACTACTTATTTTTAATTTTATTTAATATTCATCTATGAAAGCCTTAAATCCTTTCTGGAACAAAGCTGAAGATAAACAAAAGCATATATGAGTAAATACATACATCAAAAGACAAAGCAGGTAATTTTAATAGCTTGAAATGTTTGCCTGGTGAGATTTTATTTAAGTCAAATATTTAAGCATTTATACATCTGGAATATAAAATAACTTCATCTCTGTTCTTCTAAAATTAACACCATAAAAATAGCTATAAAGTGCAAAATAGCTAAAAGAATATTACACTTTTAGAAACTTTAAAATAAAGTTGTATATAATATACATGCCTACTCTACAGATCAGTTCTATAAACATTCCCCACCAACTTCATCACCACCACCACCACCACCACCACCAATCTATTAACAGTTCCTTCTAGTTTTTCTCTCCTCAGAACACTGTTCAAGTCCTATCTCCCTGTCTTATATATCTCCTGTACCAATTCACTGCCAAGCCATAATTCATCTCAGTTTGTCTTTTTTGTGTCCTGAAAATGTTTCTTTATATTTCACGTTATATTCTATAATGCATAAATATCAGGTTACTTTAAGATGACATCTATTTTATAGTCACTAATACTGCTTATACATTGTTGTGAACACACTGAGCGTTCAATAAATGTCTTTCCTTGGGAGGCTAACGTGGGAAGATCACTTAAGGCTAGGAGTTCGAGACCAGCCTGAGCAACACAGCAAAACCTTGTGTCCAGAAATTTTTTTTTTTAATTAGCTGGGTGTGGTGGTGCACACCTGTAGTATCAGCTCCTTGAGAAGCTGGGGATGAAGGATCACTTGAGCCCAGGAGATCAAGGCTACAGTGAACTACAATCATGCCACTGCACTACAGCCTGGGTGACAGAGCAAGACCCCATTTCTAAAACCCAATAAAATAAAAATGTCTTTATTTTAAAATGTTCCAGAGCACTATAAATAACCTATGCTCAATTGCCTTATTTTTCCCCTTTAAAACTAAATCTCAGCCACTTGAAATTAGTAGTTTCTCTTTATCTTTCTCCCCTTAAATTGCGGTTTTTCTAAATTGCTGTTTTTCTAAAGGCTGTTACTATGTGTATGCAATAATTTTCATGTATTAGATGTTAGGTATATAAAGGTCAGGAACCAGACCTATACACTTCTTTTCTAAAACCATGTTATTAAGTGCTTAATAAACAACTTTAGTAACGACTATAATAGTTATTCTTACTCAATTTTGCTTTCTGCCTTGAAATGTAAGCTCTCTGAAGACTTAAATAAACCACATATCACCCAGTAACTACCCTTGTTCTACTTTACACACCCTTGTTCTACTTTAACAGATGACAGACGAATTCATACATGAATTAAGACATAAATTCTGATTTCTGTGTCATAGCTAACAAATGTAGATTAAATCACCAGGAGAAAACAAGCTGTATTCATGCCAGCATGGGAACAAGGAGATAGGAATACCATTTTTTACAAAAATCAAGCTACTTTGATTTAGGCAGCTAATAAAGAGTATGCTATATTTTTCCCTCAAGAAATCAGTAAGCCTAGGGAATTGGAAAACCTTGATTGTTACAGAGAAGTACAAAGAAATGGTAATAAAAGTACAACAGAAATGAAAGGAATAAAATTAAAGAATTACCTTTGTGAGCATCCGTTCAGAAGTTTAGAAACGACTCATTAATCAGATTTCTACGTATGTGTTCACTTTTTTTGCTAAATGTTTAGAAGAGGAACAAATGGGGAAAAAAATTATTCATTACCTTTCCAAATGACCCCTGACCAAGAACCTTGAGCAACTCAAACTGTGCAGGATCTGCTTTCTCATAGCCTTCCTTAACATGATGAGTAATAGGGATTTCTTTAACAACTCCTTCATCCTGTAAAAAGAAATCCAAACAATACTTGAATCCATTTTCAACATCTTCTGATTAGTTCCATTTAAAATCAGAAGTCATAATAGAAATACCCAACTCCCTCAATGTAGCAGAGAGTTTTATGGGCTACCAGTATCCTTATTTCCCTGTTTTCTAACACATACAGCACACACAGATGCACCACCACCACCTTCCCTACTACATAATTTCATGTAAATAAAATGTAAAAAGAAATCTATGCTTCAGCCTTCCCTTCCAGCTTGGTAGCAATATAATAAAATTGTTAACAACAGTCTCAAGACCCTTCAATGGACTGTGACTAATGAGGTAGAGGCAGAAAAAGTCAAAATAAAACCTTGTAAATTGTGGGGCATGACCAAAAAACGTGACCTCAAGAGCTTTTTTAAATAGTATTTCACTATACTATTTTAAATGTTTAAATGGCCAACTAACCACATCAATGAAAAAGAAACTGGCAAAGACCAACAAAATCTGCAGAGCCCCAACAAATGTTTCCAGGCTATGGCCCGTTTACTGAAATTTTATACATAAATTATATGCCAGATTTCGTACCACCTGGGTGAAGCAGAAAGAAAGCCACCCAGTGAGTGGTTCTTCCCCTTGATGCAGGACTCCACTCAGCTGTGATGACTACATTCAAGTGAGCTGTAATTAATACTAGTCCCTACAGAAGCACAATAGCTAGGATGACAGACGTATATCACAAAATAACAGAGTTGGAAGGGATATCTTATCCAACTCTCTGACTGTATAAAGAAGAAAACTAAGACCCACAGAATTTAACTTTACATGACTACTTAATCACAATGTCTATAAATCTTGGTAGCATTCCATTATAGCATACTAATTTTAGCCTGGATGCCAAGAATGTTCTCAATCTATTCACTCTTCAATTAACTGATTAGTCAATGGTGATTGAAGCCAAAGTGAACAAGAGTATGGTCCCAAATGAGCTAGACTTCATAGCAGCTAAAATAACTTCCATGGAATATAGGTAGTCAGGCATTCACTATCTCAAGGGGGGTACCTAGGCAAAGAAATTTTAATTGTAGGTGTTAGGAACTACCAGCAAATCAACAAGAAATGAAGAATAACTGATTTTGAAAGTATATCAGATGTTTCTTATACATCAAAATAGTATTTCACCAGACCCTTTTAAATAGTGATGGTAATTTATAAATGTTTACTGAAAATAAAAATTAAATTAAAATCAATCGGCTATGGAAGTGAATTTCCCTATTTGAAAGAGGTCCTTTTTTAAAAAAGTAAACAACCTTTTTTAATGCAAATATAGATGCTTTGTAGCTGACATTTGGGGACTATATTAAAGTATAATATATCTGTATGCACCTATAAGCTAAGAAACCTTGGCTAAATCACAAATCACTCTCTCCTTCAGTTTTCTCACATGACAAAGGGGTTTTGTTAGATGGGTCTCTAAGGTCCCCTCAATGTCTGTGATTCTATACTGAACACAATATAATATTTTTATGTTCAAGAAGGTACTTCAGGTCCCTGCTTATGTTTAGATTATCACTATAAGTATTGGCATCAGTTTTTTTAGAAGTGTTCAGAGTTAGGAAACAAATTGTACTATAGTTAGTTTCACCAAACCTAAGCAGGTTTTCCAAATGAAAATGTTTGTCCAATGCCCTTTTAACTTTTATTAATAATGCTCACATGCCCATCCTCTAAAATGCAATGTCTTTCAATTTTCAGCAGCAGTACTCTAAAAAGCTCCCAATATGAAAATGCAACTAGATGAGAAAAATCACTTTTCCCAGGAGACAGCCAATGTAAAATGTTACACTGTGTCCGAACAACTAATTACCATGTCTTTCTTTCCCACTGGACTGTGGGCTTCTTAAATGCAGGTATTACACCACATTGATCTCTTTATTCCTAATGCTTAGCACAATACTTTTTTGATCTCATGAGAGCAGAAAGACAAAGAAATCTGCTCAATATTATAAAAGAAACAGGAAAAAATATATACTTTTTAAAATGAAGACAGTGCTTACCACCAAAAAATAGGGCAACTGTGAGATGATGGATGTTAATTTGCTTAACAATCATAATAATTTTACAATGTATATGAAAACATCCCATTGTACACCTTAAATATATACAATAGAAAATAAAGATTTTAAAGGTAAAATTAAACAATAAGAAATCTCAAAATTATTCTTAAATATAGTCTACAAAACAAAAAATATATATACCCACGATTTCTTTTTTTAAATATATAAAGGAAATAAGGAAACAGGAGATTCATTCTGGCTAATGAAATTGTGTCAGCTTTGAATATAACCAACTTTGTGATAACAATATTTCTAAATAAAATAAGCATATCTTCCCATACACTGTGAAGAATATAAACTTCTTCCATATTATCCATTGTCAGTATTTTTATTACACTGTGCTGAGTATGTGTTGTACTCAACACAAATAAAGGACACAATAACCCCTGAATATTAACCTAATGCTTAGCCATTTGCCTTTTTAAATAAAGACATATGTTCCTAGGCCAACAACTACCACATATTATATCACCAAATTATGACTACTGTGCCTTTACACAGACAATTTGTAATGCCCTGGTTGCCCATAAGAATCACCTGTAGAAGAAATATTTATTTACTGCACTTGTTTGGGTCCCACCCTCAGAGATTGTGGTTCAGTAGAACTACAGGAAAACGTAAGCATGTGTATTTTTTAAGCCTCCCCAGTTGATTCGGACACATGGCCAGGATTGAAAAACAATATTTGGGTGCTTCTAAGATTTATAGTTATACAGATACATAATAGATATACACACAAATACATACACATATGTGCATACATGCGTGCACACACATATACACATGTGTGTATGTGTTTATATATAGCTACTTAACACTTTTATCATTTCTACGCCACTAGCTCTTTTTTACTCTCAAAGTATGTGATACCCTCCTGTGTCACCATTTCCAATACTTATTCTGTCTTATTCTATCTGCTCCCTGCCCCATTCTTGTCTATTGCCTAAAATTTCTCAGCCATCCCAAGGCTATGTTTATTGATTTTTACTATTATAATGTCCCTTTTTGTCAACTGAAACCCTCTTTCTTCCCTCCACCTCCCTGTCTTCAGGTTCTGCACCATTTCAAAAGCTTGATAGTAGCAGCAATCTAGCCTGAAATAGGTGGTAATGTACTTATAAGTGATATATTTCTTTTTTCCTGAGAGTAAATCATCCTTAAAAAAATTCCCTATCCTGGTATGATAAAGTTGTGCTATATCACCTTATCTTCCCATATATGCACTCTTATTATTCACCCAGCAAATCAACATTCATTAAGCACATATCCTATTATCAGACACTGTGCTGCACACTGGGGATACAGAAATAAACTGTGAATTTGAGGATAGAGAACTTTGTCAGAAACATCACATCCGTCAAAGAAACAAAAAGCTACAAGTATGCTATGGGCTAAATTATGTCCCCTAACAGTTAATATGTTAAAGTCCTAACTCCCAGTACCTCAGAACATGACTGTATTTAGGGATAGGGCCCTTAAAGAAGTAATTAAGGTAAAATGAGGCCATATGGGTGGGTTCTAATTCAATATGACTGACATCCTTATTTGAGGAGGAAATTAGAATACCTACACCTACAGAGGAATGACCACGTAAAGGCACAAGGAGAAGACTCATCTATAAGCTAAGGAAAGAGGATTCAGAAAAACCAACCCTGCCAACACCTTGATCTCAATCTTATAGAATGCAGCATCTTGGGAAAATAAATTTCTGCTGTTTAAGCCACCCATCTGTGGTTATTTGGTTAGGGTAGCCCTAGCAAACTACACATGGTACATAATCTTAGCTGATCTTTGAAAATAATGTTGCTACTGTGAAATGAAGATTTAATAACCTCTAAATAAGGACCCCTAGTCTTTCTACATCAAATAAAAAATCTGAATCTGAGGCCAGGATGACTATTAATTAGGTTTTATTATTTTTTTGCGACCATAAAGTAATCAGTGATATACAGAAAAAGTATGAAGGCTCAACCACAACCAAAATAGTATGTTCTGACCTCTATAATCTGTGATCATCTTTTTAATCCAGAGGGCCAACAGTGCTGTAACACTGGGAAAACACACTGTTAAAGTACAAAATGAACTGTCAAATCTACTATTGCTCCATTCATTTGATAACTGATTTGTTTAGGAAGATGGAATCACCTGTTAATTGAAAAGAGAAAAAGCTGATGACAACCTAATAGCAATATACTATTATAACTCAATTACAGCAGTTTTCATATGACTGTGGAACTAACCTCCAGAAAACAAATCAAAACAAAAGAAGTATTTTTAAAGCCTGAACTTGTTCATTTTTATTTAATAATAAAACATTCATCTATTCAAACATCAGCTTTATTTGTAGGTACACAGGCCAGCTTGGTGAAAAGATCACCCTAAAAATCCAAGAATCATTTAGTTGTGGATTTGCTGAAACATATATGCAAAGACCCAGAAGAGCAGCTCGATATACCCTTCTCATTCAGTGAATAATATGGGGTCATTGAAAACCATGTCAAATATTAGTGTACTTTGAAAGAAAGCTAAGCGTAATACCAATATAAATGCCAAAATGCCATGAGGGTGAACTAAGCACATCAAAATTATGTACACAATGGAAGGTATCTGCAGAACACTTAGTTTTGTAAAAGTCTGCATTATGACTGAAAACCAAAGAATGCCGGCAAACTAGTTCCCACTTGGTTTGGTTTATTCTACTTACGAGGGTCAGCTCCTTAGTTCCCTCATCTACAAATTGGCAGTAATACTTACTCTATTTCAGATCTCAGTTATAAGGATCAACTGAGAACTTTGAAAACCACAAAACATCCATAAAAATTGAAGTTACTGAACTTATTTGTACAGATGTTCCTGGACTTATGACAGTGTTGTCCCCATAAACCTATTGTAAGTTGAAAATTCACTTTCAACTTACAGTGAGTTTATCCAAACTTAATCCTATTGTAAGTTGAGGAACATACTGAATATCACTTTTGCACCACTATAAAGTTGAAACTCATAAGTTGAACCATCCTGAGTCAGATACTCTCTGTAGTACTTATCTTTGCATACCTGATGGTGCAGCATAACTCGACTTTATAGTGGCTGACCAACATTTTTTAGTTGAACAATAATTATTCATCTGAGAGTTTTGCATATCTGTAGGACAAGGTTTCCAGTTTTTTAAGTAACTGAATAGAAATTAGAAGTAAACATCAGCATTGCAAGAGAAAAAATACTGAAGCATACTAAGGCTAAATGTGCATCAGAATAGAAAGACAAATAGAGGAAAAAAAAATCCACCATACAGAAAGCAGGCATTCTCAGCTTGAAATAGCTCCTACCTGTGGTTCCACTGAGTCTAAGTAAAACACACTTGTAAAAAAGTATTTTTGAAAGAATTCTTAACAGACACATGTCAAGAATGGTTTTTAAAATAAGAAATTCAGGGCTTAAAAAAATCAGGATATCCAGCATTGTTTTTCAAAATATACATTTTCAGTTCACTATGACATTTACATCTCTGCATAATAAAAATATAAATCACTTTAGAGACTAAACATGTTGCTGACCTTGCACTAATGTAATCAACAAAGAATCTAATTGCTAACTGAATATTCTTTGAAATTTTTAAGATATTGATAGCATTAAAAATATGTATTTTATTTCAGAAAAAACAGATACTGGGTAGAGTTTTAAAAATAAATACCAATGGATCATAAACTACCAAATATAAGGCAGTTATGCTTATTTTGACAACAAATAAAAAGTTAACTCATGTCAGCCAACTACTAAAGGAGACAAATCATAACAAACTTTTTCTAACCTTGACATTGCTGAAAGAAGTAGGATACTAGGTGGTGAAATGTGATATTAGATATAGTTTATCAGCAACCTGTTACCTAATACTTACCATCACAGAGCAGTCTCTACAATCCTACACTATTTTAAAACAGTAAAAAAAAAAGCCAACCACAAAAAAACACATGACAATCACAAAGAAAAAAATCGTAGCTGTATATTTAAAAAATTTAAGGGATAAATACATATGGTGTTTTTAATCACTCATGTAGTTTTATTGACACAAATTGAGTACTTTAACCATCACACACCCAAAGTACATGGTTTCAAGTCCAGATAACTCAGGCCACAAACTAAATCAAATCCTTGGAAGTGATTCTAGGTCCTTTACTCTCCAAAATTTCACACTCTACCTTTTAGCCACTGAAGTTGATTGCATAAGGTAGATCATGTAAGTAACTAGCACTGTATATTTTTACTGCCTTTCCACTAAAAACTGAACTTCCTGACTTATCTTCTACTAAAATTATAAAGGTAAATATTTGCCAATCACCCTGTGTATGTGTCCTTGAGTTTATGCACCACACACACTGTTCCCCTGTGGTGTAAGCCATGATATCCTTGTGAATTTATTAATGCTAAAATATAATAAGCAGCCTTCTCCTTCTCCACTGCCTTTAATAGTTCCTTATACTCCTTTATCTTTTATAAACTGGCAACATTAATATTACTATGCCTATTAGTCCATATGAACTGTAGACAAATCTCTAGATAATGGTTTTGATAGTTTACATTTAATTATACTCAAAATTACAATATATTATTAATATTCAGTAAACTGCAAAAGCTACAAAGACAACATTGTATCTCTCATATTGTCAATCAAAATTAAAAGTGTTGTTACATGGTTACTAACTGCAGAAATAGTTACATAGAACATTTCAAAGGAGAGTTTTGGACAAACCCAATTTAAATCCCTCTGCTGGTTTCTATCTGAGCTAATTCCAATTATGAACAAGTTTTGGTGGAGGGGTCATCAAAGTTGATTTCATCCACAACCAAATAGAAAAAGGATAATGTTCTCCTCATCTTCTACTTCTTCAGGTCTACATAATATATCTGACCTAAAAGGAAGCATACTGCCCTAAGTCTTGATTCTGCTACTAGCTACTTTTATCACCTAGTATAAATCACAGACTCTCCAAGTTTCAGTAGACTAATCCATACAATGAAGTATTACATAATATCTCTGAGGTTCTTTCCAGCTTAAAAAATCTATAACTCGGCCGGGCGCGGTGGCTCACGCCTGTAATCCCAGCACTTTGGGAGGCCGAGGCGGGTGGATCATGAGGTCAGGAGATCGAGACCATCCTGGCTAACAAGGTGAAACCCCGTCTCTACTAAAAATACAAAAAATTAGCCGGGCGCGGTGGCGGGCGCCTGTAGTCCCAGCTACTCGGGAGGCTGAGGCAGGAGAATGGCGTGAACCCGGGAGGCGGAGCTTGCAGTGAGCCGAGATTGCGCCACTGCAGTCCGCAGTCCGGCCTGGGCGACAGAGCGAGACTCCGTCTCAAAAAAAAAAAAAAAAAAAAAATCTATAACTCTATGAAAATATCTATAGAAATAACAACCATAAAATAACAACATAAATGTAGATGCTGATTTAGTCAGATTCTCCCTACAAATCTTAAGAATGCTCTCTGTAAAACTAGATCTTGTAAAATAAGACTCTAGTATCTAGGCATTACATAGAATGGTCTAATGGCTAAGCAGTCTTTAAAACTAGTTAGAAACTTCTGAAATAATTTACACATAATCCTTTCTAAAAGCCAGGAAATTGATTTTAAATGATTTCAAGTTATGCTTATACAGTTCAATATTTCCAAGTCAGATATCCTTTCTACCCTGAGGTTGAAGATAATCTTCTCAAAGGATTCTATATTTAAGTATAATAATTCAGTTACTCATACACTGGCAACTGAAAATTTTATCCATTACACTTAAAATGGGTGAATTCAATAGCATGTAAATTATGTCTCAATAAAGCTGTTTATTTTTAAAAATGCATGCATAAGTATTTCTGTCAGGAAAACCTGTCCTATATTTTAAACTGCAGTTGAGTTATTAATAATTCCATTTGCTTATTACCAACTTACCTGAATATATTTGTTTGATAGGAGCTTTTCTCCTTTCCCTGTATTCTTTTTCCTTATATGCTAAAAATGTGGCTTAATAAATTAACATAAATACTTACATGACAAGAATCTGCTTCTCCCTCTTCCATTGGCTCATCAACCATTTTAAGACCATTTACCTGAAAAACATTGTTCAAAAATTGAGGTTCAAAAGTATTAAAACAAGAGTGATAACTAAGAAAAATATAACCCTAGGCATTTCCTTCCACAATCTAACAAGATCCACACTTACTGAAAAACAAAAGGACAAAGGACACATAGAAGTACTTAGAAAAGGAACACTATTAACATGGTTCCCAGATTATCCTTGAGAAACTTTGATTTTCAGAGCTTTATGCTTAATTTCATATTGTTTAGAGTTTTGCAATAACAGATAACTATACACTAAGTATATAACCTATGTACTTTCATTAAATTGTCCCCAACCAAGTATTTATGACAGGAAAAAAAATGCCACAGAAATCTACCATGGGGGTATATTCAAAGCAAATTATAATAAGAACAGTTTTATATAATTGCACTGTTGTGAATTCCTCTTTCATTCAGTTAATTAAACATCATGACATACTATACAGAAGAAAAAATAAACTATAGGAGAAAGATGTAAGTAATCATGGAAACAAAACAAGTCAACATGCAGAGCTCAGTAGGTAATACTACTCATTCTTTAACAACTAATTCAAGAAACAGTAAAGTAGAAGACTTAGATCAAGGTTCTACAAACTATAACCCATGAGCTAAATCTGACCTCTTGTCCGTTTCTGTAAAAATTTTACTAGAACACAGCCAGACCCATTTGTTTCCATCTTATCTATGGCTGCTTTTGCACTACAACAGCAGAGTTGACCAGTTGTGACAGAGACCCTATGTCTGCAAAGCTTAAAATATTTCCTATCTGCACCCTTACAATCTGCCAAACACTGAACTAAGATGTTTGAAAATTAGGCAACAGGAAGACGAACTAGATAAAAAGGATTTTTACCACTGCCCATTTGTAAGTCAACAGAAAAAAAAATTAAAAAGTAAATTAGAGTTTCTTGTGACAGTCAAAATGAAATAAGCTCATAAGCCTATCTCCCCCTATTATAAACTAAAATCCTTATGTAGAATACAAAAAGAAACTACATAAGAACTCTGAAAATGAAACAAAAACAAATTAATTAGGGAAGATCAAAACTTGAAAATTAACTCTGATGAATTCCCTAGGTTTATTTTCTACCTTTATCTCCTGAATTTGAGCAGAGGAGAGAATGAGTCACAAAATTACACAGTAGACATCAACAAAAATTCCAAGAAAAATCCCATTTTCTAGACAAAGGACCAGGAAAAGACGCACTTTTGAGCCTGTAAACATAAGGAGAATCCAAGATTCCCCATGTACACACTTTCTCTTTTTTGATGCTGAGTCCAACTCCAAGGCAAGCCCTGATCAAGAGAAAATCTCTCTCTCTGGCCAGAGGAAGCAGGAAAAGAGGTCCCTTTTATAAGAAAAATGTGAAGGTAATCCCTGTTATTTTTTTTGCACTCTCTTCTTTACTTCATCCAAAAGGCAGCTCCAATAGTGTAAAGTTATATTCCAGCATAAAAAGCTAAGACTCTGAGAGAAACTCATATTTGTGGCCAGCAGAACAGAATAAAGGGCCCATGGGAATTGAAGAATGTGGAAGAAATCAGAGAGGATAGAATGAAGAGAGCAGATCCCCTAATTCTGTGTATGAACCAACACAAGTCCTGGTCACAACAAAAAACTGCATGTGTGCAGAAAGGACTAAAGAAACATAACAAAGTCTTTGAGTACTGAACTACAATACCAATAATTGCTCGTCTCAGACTAACCACTGAATTAGCACATCCAATGAGTGGCACATGCAGAGTGCTGACCCAAACTCTCTGAAAACTGAATTAACATTGGAACCATTATCCAGAGAGGACAAGACATAACTTTGGAGTCAACCTAACTAGGTAGATTGCCTGCTGAAACAAACAAATTATCAACAAGTATCAACTCCAAGATGGCTCCAAAGTTGAACTATCTGACAAGAATCTTAAAGCAGCTACTATAACTATGCTTTTCTGGATAAAAATAAACACACCTGAATGAAATGATAAAAGGTTCTCAGCAGAGAAATAGAAACTATGAAAAAAAACAAATGTAAGTAATTCTAGAACTAAAAATCATATGAAAAATTTTAAAAATACTGGATAGACTCAATAAAAGAATGCAGGTGGCTGAGGAAATAAACTTTAAGACAGATCAATAGATGTCATCCAATATGAAGAAAAGAGTGAAAATGATGAAAAATAAACAGAGCCTCAGAGACATATGAAACACTATGAGACATTCTAAAATCCATGTCATTAACATCCCATAAAATAACAGAGTAATACTGAAAAAATCACTTAACGAAATAAAGGCAATTTCATTCATATGAAATAATGAAAACAGGGAAATGTATAGAGACAGAAAGCAGACTAATGGTTGGTTGGGGTGAGGTATGTGGAGATGGAGGTCATAACTAAAGGGTACAATGTTCCTTTTTGATGTGATGAAGAACTTTTAAAATTTACTGTTGTGATAGTTGTACATATTTGTGAATATAATAAAAAGTATTGAATTGTATATTTTAAATGGGTGAATTATATGTTATGTGAATTCTATCTCACTAAAGCTGTATTTTCAAGATAAATAATGGCTGAACATTTCCCAAATTTGAAAAAAAAAATTACAGTTTCAAGAAGTTCAGTAAATCCCAAACAGAATAAAATTAAAGAAATCCACCCCAAGACACATCTTAAGTAAACTACTTTAAACCAAAGGAAAAATGGGGAAAATATTGAAAGGAGTGAGAGAAAAACCACACATTACATAAAGAGGAACATCAAACTGAATGACTGCAGATTTCTCGTAAGAAATCATGGAGACCAGAAAACAGAGAACATTAACCCGAAATCAGTGGAAACATGTTAAGACACAAATCTGTACATACATTTTTACAGCAGCTTTATTTATCATTGTCATAAATTGGAAACAATCAAGATGGTCTTCAACTGATGAGTGGATAAAAAGAATACTACTTTTTACTCATCAATAAAAAGAAGAGAACTGTTGATACTTGTAACAACATCGATGAATCTTAAAAGCGTTTCTGCTAACTGAAAGAAGCCAAATCCAAAAGGCTAAATACTGTATGACTTCATGTATAAGATACTTTGAATAAAGCAAAACTGTAGGGAAAGAATAAAGATAATTGGTTCAACGGGTTGGGGGTAGAGGAAGACGAGTATCACTCAGCAATAAAAAAGAATAATATACTGATACATTCAACAACATGGATGAATCCCAAACACATTGTAAATAAAAGGTGCAAGATTCAAAAGGCTACATTCTGTAGGATTCCATTTATATGTTATTCTGTAAAAGGTAAAACTAAAAGGAATGGAGAAGAAATTAGTGGTTGCAAGGAGTTAGGGATAGGGAAGAGGCTGACTACAAAGAGGCATCACATGGGAAGAGTGTGTGTATGTGTGTGTGTGTGCTGGGGAGGGTGGGTCATCGAACAACTCTTTATCTGGATTGTGATGATGGTTACACAACTCTATACATTTTTTAATCTCAGAACCCTACATGAAAAAGAGTGAATTTTACTATATGAAAAATTGGAAACCAATTTATTAAAAAGTAAATTAGCATTATTTACTCAACTAGCATCTCTATTCTAAAAAAAAATCCCATTGAAAACCAGCAATGGTCAATAAAGTCAGTAATGATGTCTACTTTGCTAACGGATCCATCAGTCATTATCTTATTTGATCTCTCTGCAGCATGTCACAGGTGACCACTCTCCTATTTGAGTCTTTAGCTTCTGTAATACCATACACTCCTTTTATTTTACTCCAATTTCCTTTGCTGCTTTTTTTCAATACCCTTGAAACACTGTAATTCCTCAGGAAATGGACTAGGATCACCTTCTCATCCCACTCCACATTCTTTCCCCACGCAGCTAATTTACTAACATGATTCACGTTTACTCAGTGACTAACTCTGAGTTCCTGATCCATATATCCAACTGCATACTTGACATTTCCACATGTTTATCTCAGATGTCTCTCAAAAATAACCAATACAAAAAGGAATTCTTGACCCCTGCTTCATATCTGCTCTTTCTTCAGGGTTTCCCATTTCATTAAATGATAACACCATCTACCACCTTAGCTCAACAAAACAGACTATGTGGGATTAAAAAAAGAACTGTGACAGATTCATTGTAAGCATATAGAAAGAAGAGCATTCGGAAAACAGTCCAGAAATCAATATTAAGACAGAATCGTGATAATTAAATTTTTGCCATAAAATGACTCTCAGAATTATCCATAGAAAAAAGGATTATGCATAGGAAGAGGATTATCCATAAAAAAAGAAAAATATTGCTTTCCTCTGTTACCTTAGTTACTGGTTACTTCCTATTCATATCATCTTATGACTAATTTATCATGAAGCTGTGGGTCTGAAGGAACTAGAAATAAAATGAATGTGAATGAGTCAAGAAGATCACTCTATCCTGGAAATTATCTCAGTCAGAAATGGCCTTTAGAAACAGAACACTCCATTGCTCCCATCTCATCTACCCTCAAGGTATCAGGTTTTCAATATAAGAATATTCATCCTACGGAGAACCACAGTGTATACTCATTGATACTTACTATAATTTAAATCACTTTCATCCACATAAAAACAAAAATAATTTCTGAATTCTCTGGGATAATAAATCTTTATTTCAAAAATAAAATTTGTAATTTGAAAAGATAAGCAGACATGCTGCTTTCCCCAATTAAGTGCCAAATGAGAGGAAAAAAATTCTACATATGATTCTGGAATGTTTATCATCAACAATAAAGGTAGTAATAATTTACTCAGATATTTCAAAATCCAAGTGAACAGACTCTCGTACCAGGGCTTAGAGAAGACTACTTTAAAAATTCTTTTCACATTTTATCAGAAAAGACTTAAAGCACTTACAAATATGCGGGACAAACAGAAATCCTAAACTGAGTTGCTGTACTCATCTGATCCCAGAAAATCACATAGGTCACTTCAAATTTATCGCTTTCTTACTATTATTGACCAAAGCAACTCATCAAGGAAAACTGAACTGAGAAATTAAAAAAAAAAAAATCCCTTTCAGATCCTTGGAATTGGAGGTGGTATGGGATAGTGAACATATGAATACAAATAGTTTAGTAAAAGAGTTTACTGTTATCTATGATACATAAACCTGTTCCTTAGTGTTACACAAAAGGAGGAAGTTAACAGAGCTTGTAGCTTGGTGCTGAAAGATATATTGAAACTTAGAAGTAGGCCCACATCTAACTAGAATAAAATCTACTTTTTCCTTATTTGTGTGCACCTCTGAAGAAGAAAGTAGAGAGATACACATTTCCGAAGAAGACAGTAGAGAGATACACAAATAAGAACTAGATAAAAAGTGAGAATAAATATGGGTGATGCAAATGATTAACAAAACATACACAGGACAGCAGTTTCCACAATAAATTTGACAATATTATATATTTTCAAGTATTCTCCAGGATCCCCAAAATCAACCTAGTAAAAAAAAATATTGGCCAGGTGCTGTGGCTCATGCCTGTAATCCCAGCACTTTGGGAAACTAAGGCAGGTGCATCACCTGAGATCAGGAGCTCGAGATCAGTCTGGCCAACATGGTGAAACCCGTCTCTACTAAAAATATAAAAATTAGCTGTACATAGTGACACACGCCTGTAATCCCAGCTACATGGGAGGCTGAGGCACAACTGCTTGAACCCAGGAGGTGGAGGTTTCAGTGAGCCGAGATTATGCCACAACACTCCAGCTTGGATGGCAGAGTAAGACTCCTTCTAAAAAAAAAAAAAAAAAAAAAGAAAATATGTCTCTCAAATAAGCTTTACATTTACATATTAGTCACTGATAGCTTTTGTAAAGAAGACTTCTTCTATTCAATTTTTTCACTTTATTTAAATAACAAAAGTAAATTAGAGCTAAAGATAAAGGTGGGTCCACATCTACCTAAAATAAAGATCCGGCCAGGCATAGTGGCTCACGTCTGTAATCCCAACACTTTGGGAGGCTGAGGCGGGTGGATCACCTGAGGTCAGGAGTTCGACACCAGCCTGGCCAACATAGTGAAACCCCATCTCTACTAAAAATACAAAAATTAGCTGGGTGTGGCAGCATGCACTTGTAATCCCAGCTACTGGGGAGGCTGAGGCAGGAGAACTACTTGAACCCAGGAGGTGGAGGTTGCAGTGAGCCAAGATCACGCCACTGCATTCCAGCCTGGGCGACAGAGTGAGACTCTGGCTCAAAGGCAAAAAAAAACAAAAAACAAAACAAAAAAAATCTATGCCTATATATTAAGCCCAGGACAAAATAAAACAGAGAAAGAAACCTACCAATTAAGCAATGTGTTGGACACTCTAAGATAGGCCCCCATGATCCTCACCTCTTGCTGTTTATGCCCTTCTATAATCCCCATCCCCTTGAATGTGAACATGGCCTATCACTGAATTCCAACCAATAGAATATGGCAAAGGCGATGAGATTTTACATATATGATTACACTGTGTCATATAAGACTCTAGAGGCTTTCCTTGCTGACTTGATTGAAGTAATTAAGTGACCATGTTGAGAAAGTCCCCATAACGAGGGACTGTGGCCATCCTCTAGGAACTACAGGCAGCCTCTAGGAGTTGAAAGCAGCCTCCACTCAACATCCAGCAAGAAGCCAGGGCCCTCAGTCCTGCAACCACAAGGAAAGGAACTCTACCAAGAATCTGAGGGAGTGTAAAAGTAGATTATTCACCCAGTCAAGCCTCTATATAACAATGCAGAACAGCTGAAACCTTGATTACATTTTTGTGGGAATCGAAGCAGAGGACCAAGCTGACCCATGTGTTGATTACAGCTTGGTAGGGCCCTAAGCAGAGGATCTAGTTGAGCCAAGCCCAGATTCCTGATCCATAGAAACTGTGAGATAATAAATGTGTCTTGGTTAAAGCTGCTAAATTTATGGTAATTTTTTGCAGCACTAGGTAATACAATCAAAAGTGTCTATGATCAAAAATTCTCCCCTGAAACAGACTTTCCAGAGACAAATTTTACAGTTTAATCATTTTAAAATAGATCTTTACTTATTAAACTCACATATTTGTTCTCATTTGGTAGAAATAAAACTGTAAACTATATACTAGTAAGTGACCCAGGACAAATGTTTAAGTGGGGCCAAATTTTTAATTTTAGTTTCAATAAACTTAAAATTGAGCAGTTCTATTTTTGTCCTTTAATCCTGCTTTCCGAAAAATCAATCACTAACTTAAGCACAGTATAGAGAACGTAATTCCTTTTTTTAAAATTTTATTTTAAGTTCTGGGATACATGTGATGAACGTGCAGGTTTGTTACACAGGTATACATGTGCCATGGTGGCTTGCTCCACCTATCAACTCGCCATCTAGGTTTTAAGCTCCACATGCATTAGGTATTTGTCCGAATACTCTCCCCGCCCTTTTCCCGCCAACCCCCGACATACCCCAGTGTGTGATATTCCCCTCCCTGTGTCCATGTGTTCTCATTGTTCAAATCCCACTTATGAGTGAGAACATGTGGTGTTCGGTTTTCTGTCCCTGTGTTAGTTTGCTAAGGATGATGGTTTCTAGTTTCATCCATGTCCCTGCAAAGGACATGAACTCATTCTTTTTATGGCTGCATAGTATTCCATGATGTGTATGTACCACATTTTCTTTATCCAGTCTATCACTGATGGGCATTTAGGTTAGTTCCAAGTGTTTGCTGCAATAAATAGTAGTGCAATAAACATGCGTGTTTATATATAGTGTTTATATATAGTGCTGCAATAAATAGGGCTGCAATAAACATACGTGTGCATGTGTCTTTATATTAGAATGATTTATAATCCTTTGGGTATATACCCATTAATGGGATTGCTAGATCAAATGGTATTTCTGGTCCTAGATCCTTGACGAATCACCGCAAGAACATAATTTCATATTCCTTTAACAATCAGGGATATCTCAGTATCTTAAGAACTAACCCTCTCAACATGAATTATCAACAGCATGGCTTTGTTGAAATGGAAAGTAAATCCAGAATATATCCTGGAATTTACTTTTTCAAAATAATTCCACCATACATAAGGATGTGGAGAAATTGGAACCTCTGTGCACTGTTGGTGACAACGTAAAATGGTATAGCTGCTATAAAAAGCAGTATAGCAATTCCTTAAAAATTTAAAATAGAATTACCATATGATCTAGCAATCCCACTTCAGGGTATAGAACCAAAAAAATCGAAAGCAGGGTCTCAAAAAGATATTTGTACACCTATGTTCATAGCAGCATTATTTACAAATAGCCAAAAGGTAGAAGCAACCCAAGTATTTATCGACAGATGGTAAGTTAAACAAAATGTGGTATATACATACAATGGAATATCATTCAACCTTAAAAAGAAAGGAAATTCTGACACACGCTGCAACATGAACCATGATGATATTATATGAATTGAAATAAGCCAGTCATAAAATGACAAATACTATATGGTTCCATTTATATAAGGTATCTAGAATAGTCAAATTCATAGAGATGGAAAGTAGAAAGGTGGTTGCTGGGGCTGGCAAAAAGGGGAGAATGGAAAGCTTTTGTGTAACGTGTAAGGAGTTCTAGTTTTGCAAGGTAAAAACAGTCCTGTAGATTGGCTGCACAATAATGTGAATGTACTCAACACTTTTGAACTGTATTCTTTAAAATGGTTAAGATGGCAAATTTTATGTTTCATATATATATTTATATATATAAGACAATTTAAAATTTTAATGCTAAAAATAAGATTAGTAATACATCACATCAGGTAAATTTCTTGTCATGTGCATCTAGACTTAAAGCTCCTTGAGGAATGATGCTGTGTTTCATTCATTAGGCAGGCATAGTATGTCATGAAAACAGCAATTCTTCAGTGTCAAGCAGACCAAGATTCAAACTCTAAAGCTCTACTTTTACTGCCTTTGAAAAGTTTATTAAGCTTTCTTAGTTGCAATTTCTTCATCTGTAAAATGAGCAACCTAGGATTGTCAGGATTCATACAATGTTCCTAAAGCAGCTGGCACAGTGTCTGACATGTGCTCAACAAATGCATGATGTGTGAATGTTTTTCTGATAAAAACAATACAGAAAAAAATAAAAACATTTTAGCTAATAATTCATCAGAGGTGAATAATGCTGCCTGTATAGAGAATAAAAAATATGTGAATCAAAACTTACTGCCATATCACTATCATAATAGTATTGACTCAATAGTCTTAATTTAGTTTTTTTGTATCATTTATTTATTTTTTGAGATAGGATCTCGCTGTGTCGCCCCAGGCTGCAGTGCAGTGGCAGTGCGATCACAGCTCATTGTAACCTCAAACTCCTAGGCTCAAATAATCCTCCTGCCCCAGCTTCCCAAAGCACAGGGATTACAGTCATGAGCCACAGTGCCCAGCCCTAGTGTAGTTTTGATATGTCATACTGTTGTGGAAAGATCACTTTTAAAATTATGATAGGATCACTTTTGGTCAACGTGAAATGAATCTCCCAAACCAACCCATAAAGGTATATACATACTCATGAACATACTCTTTGCTTTAAGAAACACAAATTGGAGAGAAATAAAAAAGTATCTTTGTATATTTTTACTATAACACACTTTATCAATTTATCTAACAGTCTTTTAAGCAAGACATTTCCAAAAATAAGATTTAGTTGGTTTGTTTTTTTGGATTCACCAGGCAAGTTTTAATTTGTACTGTGTCTTTTATACTACCAAATATTTTCAAAGGTTTATTAATATCTATGGTCATTTCCCCAAAACACTTTAATCTTTTTGAACTTTTAGATTAAATTATATAGTTAACATACTGCTTATGAGAAATCTGATAACAACTACAATACTCATTTTAAATGATTTACTTTGATCCTTTCTGGCTTTCTAATTATACAATATTCTTGTAGTTTGTACCTCAAGAAGTTTGAAATACACCCACCTAATTATTGTCACTGCTTCAGGGAGGACTTAAGAAAGGGCAATTATGTTTCAAATCAATTTAAAAGAGATGTCTTTTTTTTAAAAGAGTCTCAGAATGGGACAAGAGTATACAGCCTCCAAGCGATTACTTTAGTCAGGTATTTAAATGCAATCATGAGGCTCTGTTGTAAAAGCAGTTAGCTGGTAAAACATATCCATGTTCAAATTAAGGCATAAAACCAAGTCCAAAGTTAAATATGAATGATCTTTGGAGTATTTGCCATTTTGAATTACCTGTGCTTTTGAATGTCAACTCATCTTTATCAAGACTCAACGTTAACACTTTCCCTTTTTCCTTCCACCTTACCCTATGAAGACTTCTATCAGTAAACACTGTGTTACTTGTTAAGTGTCTCTTCCATCTCTCTATCATACTGTAATCTCCTGGAGGAAAGGGATCTCATCATATTACTCTTGGTTACCCCAGTACCTAGCATAATATCTGGAACATAATAGACACTGGAAAAATATTTACAAAATGGAATGACTAAAATCTGGGATCTAAATGAATAAAATTTATAAAATAACTTCAATAATAAGCAATGGCCATTATTTTTCCTTCGATTTTTATTAGTTTTCTTACTAAAAATGTTTAAAACCAACTTTCAAACATAATTTCATGACGAAGTTACAGTAAGTCATTTTACTTCCCATTTCTGACTCTTAAATGCTAACAGCAAAGAGGAATTCAGCTTTTTCAAAATCACATTAAAAATATATTATTTGGGTTAGTCATAAAATTGTTTTCAAGAAAAAAAATGTTAGAAATTCTTTGTATTTCATATCTTGCATGGAAATCACATTATGAACCTCAGTATACGTGGGAGATTGGTTCCAGGACCTCTCGTGGATGCCAAAATCCACAGATGCTCAAGTTTTGTATATAAAATGATGTGGCATTTGCATATAACTATGCACATCCTCCTCTGTACTTTAAATGATCTCTATTATTTATCTGTTAAATCTCTTCCTCTATATTTTAAATTATCTCCACTAACAACTATTTACATGGCATTTATACTGCTAGGTATTACATAGCAATAATGTTATCTCTATTAACAGCTATTTACATAGCATTTATATGCTAGGTATTACATAGCCAAGAGTAAGGGGAGCTATGCAAAGCAAGAATACGGCACAAACTGAACTGCCATACATACCGAGGCTCTACTTTCTTGATGGCTTATTTGAGTAGGAGGAAATCGGGTATTAATATATTAGAAAAGCAAAAGGGTGGGAAAGATCTATTAGTGAACCTGTGAATAATGCCACAGGAGTATGGAATTAAAACATTAACAACCAAAATATTTTTAAAAATCTTTCTATAAGGCTAAATTTGTTGGAATTTGTGACATAATATATTGTCCTTCAGTTCAGATATTTCTTTGTACATTATGGAAAAATGCGTAAATACACAGTTAATTAGTTTTCAGTTATCAAGACAGAAATTGAGAGCAATAACCAAATGAACCCTATCTAGTAACACAACACTATACATATTTAATCATAATTTGGTGAGTGCATGCAAAATAATATTTAGAACCAATTAAAAAAAATCCAATTATCATCATGCTTTTAAAAAGGACTAGTAGTTGTACTACTATTACTACTGAGTTACTACTGAGTCACTGAGTAACTACTGTTACTACTGAGTTAAACTAAGTATGTCAATATTGCATAAACATTAGAAGGTATTTCCAGAACATTTGAGTTTTTACAACCTTGTTTCAATGACAGAAATGCAGCTTCCTGGTTTCTATTCAGGCAGGAATTTGTTTACTCTGCTTAGCTGAAATCAGAGCTAATGACTTTATTGGTTTTGAATAGCTCCAAAGTGTTCCCAATGCAAAGGCACTGGCTGTCTGGCCAGTCTCATATGGGCTACAACACATGCATTTGGGAAGTTTACTTTCCAAAAATATAAGTATTCATGTGGTATAAATGAAGTCATGTACATATGCAACCTGAATACACACATGACATTCTGAGGTAGTAATTCTCACTGTTGTAACCTCTTCAAGATATGAAGTCTATATAATCACATTAAAATACTACCTTTGGGGTATGAATTAAGTTTAAATTGTCCACTGAGTTATATATCAGGGTTAAAGAAGTACTTTGTCTAGAACACCTAAATCTTTAGTCATTTTTTGAAAGGAAAAAGAACTTTATTATTCTTGACAAACATTATATACAAAGTACAATTGTGTTACTTCTCAAAATAATCATAAACATGTTAATTCCCATTTTATATGTGAAGAAACTGATTAATTAAATAACACATACCTAAAAACACACAGCAAGCTAGTGACAGGATAAAACAACTTTATCCCAGTGAGTCACAGTTCCTAAATGTCCTACACCATATTACTCTATTCTTTCATCACTTCATAAACAATGGAGAATAAAGGAAAAAATTTAAAAACTAAAATGGGTTTATATGTGGAAAAAAGTCAAAAATAGACAGCTATTACACAACCTTAGCTTGAGGTCAAATTCTACCTGATATGTGTGGGTTTTTTTCCATTAATAAATGTTTGCTGTCAAAAAACTACTCAGAGAAAATCACAAGTCAATAGACTACAGAAAACAGAAGCTCAGTGAATAAAGAAAATATAAGTTCAGCAAAAGCAGTACCATCCTCTTGAGAAATGAATACGAAAAAAAGACAGCCTTACTACAGCTAATCAAGGAAGAATAAAATGTTTCAAAATTCAAGTCACAGGTAGAAGAAGATGGTCAAAAAGGAGAAATGTGTATTTGTATATAAATACCTTTAAAGAAGAAATACTAATAACTGCATAATTATATATGATACTTAAATATCATTATACAATAGTTGATTTTTTTAACTTGCAAGCCTGTTAATCTTCAATAACTCAGATTGCAGATGTGATATATTTAAAAATAATAACATTTACTGAGTGCTTACAATGGAAAAGACACTCTTCTAAGTGCTTTACATATATTATATGCTACTGTTATCCCCATTTTACAGATAGAGCGACCAAGTAAACTACAGAGAAGTAACTTGTCCAAGGTCACACAGTAAATAAATAAAGAGCCAGAATTTAAACTCGGGCATTCTAGCTCTAGGGAACCAGCTATTATCCTCTATGGTATTCTGAATTTGTAAAGAATCTGAGATGGCTAACCCAACTGTTTATATTTCCTTAAGTTTAAAATCAACTTAATTAGCACAATATTCTCAATACAAACCCAACCTACATTATTCTCATATTTCCTCTTTCACATAGGAAGACATGAGGCACTGAGTATCATTAACCAAGGTTAAAGAAGGTAGTTTTAAAATGTTTCTCAAAGAACGAATATCATTCTCTTCTTAAAACCAAAAGGAATATACAACAATTATTTGTCAATTTTAAAAACTAAAATATAAATTTTTTGAGACAAGGTCTCGCTCTGTCACCCAGGCTGGAGTGCAGTGGCACAATCATGGCTCACAGCAGCCTTGACTTCCCAGGCTCAAGTGATCCTCCCACCTCAGCTCCACAAGTAGCTGGGACCACAGGCATGCACCACCACACACAGCTAATTTTTTATTCTTTTTAGAGACAGGGTCTCACTATGTTGCCCAGGCTGGTCTCAAACTCCTGGGCTCAAGTATTCCTCGCACGCTGCCTCCCAAAGTGCTGGGATTACAGGCATAAGCCACCGTGCCAAGCCAAAATAATTTTATTTAAAAAGAGCAAAATTAAATCTATGTTAATGATGGTTACCAAAGCTCCAACAATCCAGGCTCCCATTTTCTTGGCAAAGAGATAGTTTCTAGAATATGAACTGAAGCTTATTCAGTCTTGTAGCTTTCATGTCTAATACTAAGCAACTAACAGGTCACAAACTGCTATATAAAAAATGTTAGGGGTAATGTACAAATATGGGGGAGGAGATAAGCAGAGAAGTATCACTGCAGAATGAGAAAGTTCACATAAAACTTCTAGCACCATTAGGTTTCCTCATCTATAAAAGGGTCTAAGAACAGTCACTTAATGTTTTGAAAATTAATGACTGCAAAGAAAATATATCACAGAAATTATTTTGTTTTTTAACAAAGAATATTTCACTAAACCCAATACAGAAACAACCTCAAGAATTTTATTAATTGTATTAATTAATTTTATTAACACCATATATCTATGCTCAGTAAGTGCAATTCTGAAGTTCCACAGGACTAATTCATTAAAATTATTATGAAAACTACACATATGTGACAAAATGATTTTTGATATAGTACAAAGGCAATTCAATAGAGAACAGGTAGTCTTTTCAACAAATGGTGGCAGAGCAACTGGACATACCTGTGTAAAAAAGTAGACTTCTATCACACTACCCACCATATTCAAAAATTAACTAGAAATGGATCAAAGACCTAAATTAAGAAATATAACTAAAAAACTTCTAGAAGAAAACTTAAGGGAAAAATTCTGTAACTTTGGATTAGGCTAGGATTTCTTAGATACAACACCAAAAACACAATTCATAAAAGAAAAAAAAAACTGATAAACTGGACTTCGCTAAGATGAAAAACCTCGACTCTTTATTAAGAGAATGAAAAGACAGACCATGTGGGAAAAATATTTGGAAATCGGTATCTAATAAAGGACTTGCATTTGGAATATAAAGAACTCTCAAAATTCAATAATAAGAAAACAACCCAACTTGAACAATTTCAAAAAATTTGAAAAGACAACTCATCAGAGAATATATACGGATGGCAAATAAGCATATGAAAATATGCTTAGCAACATGTGTCATTAGGGAAATGCAAGTTAAAATCACAATTAGATACCCCTACACTCCAATTAGAATAGCTATTTTTTTTCACTTAATCTGACAAGACTAAGTGCTGGCAAGTACTCAGAGCAGCTGGAATTCTCACGCAGCAACCTCACTCCTAAGTGTTTACCCAATATAAGTGAAAAGTTATGTCCAAACCGAAATTTTCATACAAATGTGTATAATGGCTTTATTCATAATCACCAAACACTGGTAACAACCCAAATCCAAATGTCCTTCAACTTATTAATGAACAAATCAACTGTGGTACATTCACATAACAGACTAGTGCACAGCAATAAAAAAGAAAGAACTACTGATACACATAATATCATGAATAAAGACCAAATAAAATCAAATTAATATTGTTCATAGATATGAAGTTGCTGAATGACCATGTCTTTTTTGAAAATCCGTATTGACTGACCTCCCTTAAGAGATTCTATAAGTATTCACTTATTCCAATGTAATTGCTCTACAAATGATAAACACAATAAATGTTTTATGATTGTGCCAGAAGGTCTAGAGTTACTCTTCTCCATCTGTAAAATAAAGTACAAAATCATACACAAATTATCTTATATATGTTCTATCATTCTTGTATATGTCTCTATAATCAACATATGGTTTTCTGCATATGCCCATTAAGTTTGAAATGTAATTGTTTCCAACAGCATTCATTCATCACTGCATCTACTCCAGGTGAACAATCATGAATGCAAAATATTTTTATCAAATCAGACCTAATGGCTTATCTATTTCCCTTAATTTTGAATTTTGACTATTCTCAATTAGTACAATTTCTTTAACACATACACCAAACCTCTCTCATTTTAAGAAAAACTAAAAGTCATTTGAAACCTGACATTCAGTCCACATTTCCCCTCATATGACGTTTTTCTCCTTTGTTTTCTGAAGTTCTGTCCACTCTGATCCTTTAAGTAGAGTAATAAATCCCTATACCTCAACTCTTATCAAGCTTATGATTTTTAGGATAATTCATGTTCCATTTTCACTTATGTCTTAATGACTAATTTCAACTGTAGTAACTGAAAATAGCAAAAATGTTTTATGTAATAATTTCCCCAGAATCTTCAGAAAGAAAGTGCAAATTTCAAGTTCTGCCTTTTTGAAAAAGGTAGCAACTTTCCCCCTAAAATTTCCTCAGATTTTAAAAGCTGATCTTGTTCTTTATTTTTTTATTTTTTTGCATTTTTTCTCAAAATTCAGTTGAGTGTATTTGTGTGGCTCTATTTCTGTGTACTCTATTCTGGTCTACTGATCTACGTGTCTATTCTTCCACCAATACCACATTGTCTTTATTATAGTTACATAGTAAAACGTAATATCCAATAGAGTAATTCCTTATTTTATTTTTCTTTTTCAAAATTGTTTTAGAGCTTCTAGGTCTTGTACTTTTACATATACATTTTAGAACATGCTTGTCTGTTTACAAAACAAAACAAAACAAAAAAACAGACTTGCTGGGATTTTGTTGACATTTATTTAACTTAAATAGACAGGCATGGCTATTGAATCAGCACATCTGACTGCTGATCTAATATGGTTGCTAACAACGTATCTATATTCTCTCCTTATTTTCAATATTGTCCTTAGGGGGGAGATAGCAATGTATAGAGGAAAAAGCATGAATTTAAAATAATCTAGGTTCAAATTCCAGACGTATTTCCTACTAACTTGCATGTATCTTTCTATTCTGTTAAAAAGACATAACTGTCTTACCAAGATGTTTTGAAGAATGAATAAAACTGAGATAATCTATGATGCATCTAGTACTAGCTGGTACATAGTTCATGCTCAATAAACGCTATTATCTCTTTCTCCCTTAAGATTCGATACCTTTAAATGGAATGGATTCCAACGTTTTTTCAGGTTAAAAAATTTGTATTGGGTGTTTAAATTGCTATATTTCCTCTTAAAGTTTGTCTTCAATCACTTTACAGGAGAGGCAGAGGGATTTCTTAGTAATAATTACCCATGGGTTTTGAAATTTTTTGTTAGAGATGTAATGGGATATTTGTCATTCAAAACAGAGTCACTATCTCCTTACTCAGCTAGTAAAATGGGTGAACAAGTTATTTAACCTCTTAGTTATATGGCTGAACTATATCAAAACTAGCTACGGTACTAAATTTTGTTTTTAATGCTACTGGAAAAGCAAATTCCTCAAAACTAAAGAGCAAGAACATACAGGGCAGTTCAAACAACCCAATTTGGCTCCAGTCATATCTTAAAACAACAACAAAATAAAACACACAGAAAAATATCACAATTCACAGATAATTTACTGCAGAGCTAATTGCTAGCTTACAAATTAATATTCTTTTTTTCCTATTGAATAATGACAACTACGTGACTATTTCTTTTTTTACTTTGGCCTAGAGCTGTGGTTTTTAACCCTGGCTGTGCATCATAAGCATCTGGGGAATAGATGCCCAGGCCCCCTCTAGATTAGTTAAATGTGAATCTCTGAGTGGAACACTGGCATGGATAATTTTTTTACACTCCCAGGTAAATATAACACACAGCCAGAGTTGAGAAAAACCAGCTAAGAAAACTCAAGGCCAAATTTATAATTCAACTATATTTTAAACATGTCATAGACCCTTACAGCCTGCTTATTTGTGCTCTATTTTACCCTTCATCCCCTACCCTCCACCCTTTTCATATATCTCCTACTTTGTTTTCCCTTATCCTCAATATCAAAATAGTTATCAGATTATATTTCCCATATACCATCTCAAATGCTTGGTAAAATGAAGCAAATCACAAGTAACACACATGCACTCTACTCCACCTTCCCTCTTTCTCTGTCTCTCTCTCTCTCTCTCTCTCTCTCTCACACACACACACACACACACACACACACGTGCACACAAAACTACAGCAGGACCTGTTTCTAATGTAGAGATACAGATTAAAATCTAGCAGTGAAATCAGTTACAGAATGTCTCCAGGGCAATTTAGAAAACGTCTCTTATCTGCAAAAGCCAGATTTAGCTCAGCTCTCTAAATCTCTCTCCCATCTAACTCCTTTCCTACCTAAAAACAAACAAAAATAAAGAAAATACACAACAAAAAAAAATATTGGCAGCAACAGTAAATAATCCTTGGAAATAACATAAATGAATAAACATTACATAGCAAATTCTGACAAAGTACTGAAAGGCTTATACCTCAAGATTCCAAGTGCTTATCAAATCTTAAGAACCGCTGCTACATACAATGATAGCACCAAGAAAGAAATTACAGGAAGGGAAAAAAATCTTGCATTTCCTCATCAAAATTCTAGATGAGAGAGACTATGAGAGGGTAGGTACTAAAACAATATGGCCCAGAAAAGCAACTACACTATCAGTAGGCCTTATCATGGAACACAGAGGTAATGATTAGCTCTCTTGATGAACTAATCAAGGTAGGGAAATATAGAGGACCTGCCCTGAAGGAACTGACCTGAATATTTCCAGATCAGACTGGCTTAAAGAAAGATTGACTTGGAGGAACTGAGAAGGCACCTGTGGCAGGGAGGGGCCACTGCCCTCTGACTCCTCCCCGCTTGTCTATTCCAAATAAACCTGGTGAAAGCATAGAAAAAATACAGATGTCCCTGCTCTCCTTCCACATTCCAGAAATAAGTACTGGTCATTATTTTCAGAATAGGACTCTGTACTCACGGCTGCTGACTACTGAAGATGAACATTGGTGAAACAAGAATTACAGGCCTAAGGCCCATTTAAAAAGAATTAAAAATGTTTTAGCTAGTAATAAGTGTATTCACCTTTGGTAGTAAAGAATTTAAGCATTCTAAGCACGATCAGAAACCTTCAGAGTGGAATGCTATTATTCAATACAATATTAGAAAGGGGAGATTTCATTTTAGCTTTCTATCTCCCTATACTGCAAAGATCTATTTATTTTTATATTAGTCTGGTGGCTAATACAGAGACTTATATTGGCAGGTATGCATTAAATACCTGTTACATTGAATTAATTCCTACCAGGACGCTTCTAATCTCAATTGTTTGTTATTTCTTTTTACTCTCCAACATCTAATCAGTTACCAAATTGTAACTATTCTACCTCTGCCAGGTCTCTCCCATCAGTCATCTCTTTTCTACCCCTTCTGTACTAGTTCAAAAATCTCACTACTACTTCCACTAACACAATAGCCTCCTAGCTGGAATTCCCCACCTTCCATATCTCCCCCATTCCTCACTACCGTCAATTATTTTTCAAAGCACAAATCTAATAATGTCACTCATGTCCTCAAAAACCTTCAGTGGCTCCTATTTATGAGATAAAATTGAACCCTTAAACTGGCTTAAAAAGTCCCATTCAACCTGGGCCTAGCTTACCTTTAATACATTCCTTATCTCTCACTATATCCCCTCTCCCACATCACAGACTTACAACAGTATCAGATTCTTCCTTCTTTCAGAACATTTCCATGCCTTTTCTTATATTGTGCCCATCCACGTGAAATATGCTCCTTTCATCTGTCTGTGAAAATATTATCACTTTCTAATGCCCTGCTCAAATTCCACCTCCTTCACAAAGCCTTACCAGATCCATTCCTAAACCACCACCACCCCCACCACCACCACCACCACCCCATTGTTGATAATCTTGTGCCTTTTACAATAACAATTTCCATACATGCCTGTCTTACTACCTGAATGTAAACCTGTGGGGGTAGGGTGGGACTCTGTGGTATATTTTTAGGCATTTCACATTACAGCACTATGTACAGCACTGCCTTGTACTCAATAAATGCTTCATGAATTGAACCAATTCCTACCATGACAAGAGTTCAGAATTTTTTTAAAAAATTAAAAATTTCAATGAAACACCTCATCAGCCAGATATAATAAATGAAATTATCTGTCTCTTCTTATCCTTCCACTGTTTCTAAATATAACTTTGTATTTTATCTCTGGATCACCCTATCTGTGATTACAAACATTCACAGTGAGAGCACCACTATACTTAGATGAAATGATCAAATTTAGGAAGGGGTCTTAAGAAAAACTGCTTACGAAATGGAAGGCTGCGGCTAAGGCCATGGTTATCTGAATCCCAGGATTTTAACATAGATGACAATAGTTCAGACTTTAGGGGCATGGGAAGAGGCATGATGACTGTGGGAAAAGAGAAGGAACTATTGTGTACTAGAGACTAAGTGCAAAACATCTTGCTAAGTTTATTAAACCCAGCACTGAATTTTCTTTACATAACAACTCTTGAAGATGTTTTTTCTCCAACTTATAGACAAAGAAAGTGAGGTTCAGAGAGGTTAGGTAACGTGGATTGTGTCACATCATGAGTATGGCATGGAGCTCGGACAAGAACCCAGATTTACCTGCCTTCAAAGCTGTTCTTTCCTCTATTACTATAGGGTCTCATGAAAATTAATTAAAACTAGAAGTTTTTCCCAAATTGGTTTTATCAGTAAACTACATACTCTCAAAACTAATTTGTTTAGACAGGCATGGTTGTGAGCACCTGTAGTCCCAGCTACTCGGGAACCTGAGGCATGAGGATTGTTTGAGTCCAGGAGTTCGAGGCCAGCCTGGACAATGTACAATGACATAGAAAGACCCTGACTCAAAAAAAAAAAAAAAAAAAAAAAACTAACTTGCTTAAATAAAAACAGCATTGCTAAAGAAATAATATAAAAGTACTACACGTTTACTATGATATGAAATGTGAAAATTACATCATCAACTTGATAAAGAAGCACTTGGTTCCTCACCAAAAAACAAACAACTAAGCGAACAAACTGTAACATGCATGGCATTAAATCATGAAAAGTTCACATTAGTCAAACAGGTTGTTCTTTATGATCCTTGCCCAGGAATGACCAATACCCATCCCATCTCAAGTAAAACCTCTTTCTTGATCCTGACAGAATCCAGTCAAAAGCTTAAATTGTGACTGCGTGAGGGGTGATGCCCTTTGAAGTTCCTATTCCCAGTAGACCTCATTGAGACAGTCCCTGCAAGAGCTCTCACAATCAGTTTCTTGCTTACCCTATTTCCCCTCTTCTAAGAACTCTCTTCCCAGAAACCAAAAGATTCCAGGTTTCCCCTTTTCAGGCCCATTCTCTACCTCTCACTGGAACCAAGCTAGTTATTGGTTGAAACCTGACACATTTCACCACAGAACAATTTTACAAACAGTGGTTAGGCTCGGCATCATTATACCTCGCTATTATGTACTGATCTAAAAATATAAGTACCCTTAATAAGTTTTTCCTGTGGGAAAACATGTTAAGAGTCTCAAACAACCAATTTACACACTTCTGAATGATAATTCAAAGGTTAACAACTGTCCATGCAAGCAAGACAGGTAAAAGATACAAAAAGACTCCAAAATATATGGTAGTGTCTATAATCTTTAATCTTACCAGATTCAACACACACAGAAATGGACGGAAATTATTTCTTTTGACATTAAAGTTAACAGATTCTTACCTACATTTTCTTTAAGGATTCTAGCACATTTTAAAAATATATATTCTACAACAAAAACACTCTTAGTCCTAAAATTATCACAATTGAGGGTTGTAGAGCTTGTACTCAAAATTAGCATTTTTAAAGCCAACATCAACAAATTTGTAATTAAAATATAAATTATCAAAAGTAAACTTGTTTACTTCTTATCAAAAGAATATAATTAAAAACAAACAAACTCTTCTAAGTACTAAGTGGGTCTGTTCAAATGTAGCATTTAGTTTTCACCTATAATATTTTTTATTAAGTAACTTGCAGGGTTAAATCTAACCAATCATAACTGTTTTAGAGAAAGAAGGCAGAAATACTATCTTCACCACATTACCTTCACCTTTCGTTTTACTTCATAGGGATTAACAATTTCCACTCGAGTATTTTTCCAAATTGCTGAGGTAGAGAGACCCATTGTTAAATCTCTACAATACCTAAAACATACTGCAAACAATAAAAAAACCATATGTGGTAATTACAATTTAAAACATACTACATTCAAAGTTAACAGAAATAATAAAATAGTAGGCATGCAAAAGGATTCCCACCTCCCATCCCATCCTTATATCAAAGCATTTAACTGTTTTTATAAACTAAATGCCTATAAGTTCAGTAAGTTACATACATGAATATAACAAAGTTCCTCTCCCCTTCAATAGACTTGCTAGACAATTGTGCAAACAGTTAGCATTCCCACATTTCAACAAGAAAGGAACGCCTATTCATTTATCTTGTTCTTACGAGATGTAAAATATTAAAACGTATATTGGAATTGCTTGGTTTACTAGTAAAATATTTCCTGTAAGTATAGAGGGTTCAGATTTAGGGTACTTCTGAATTTATTTCCACTATATTCCTTACCACATGTTATTCTAGCATGTAATCTTAACCCCAGTTTAGTTGATAAATAACAAAAAAATTTAAAGAAAAAAAAACAAGGTAATCATACAACAGCCAAATGTGTATTTTTTTTAAATGGAGCAAGTACTTGAAGACAAAGTTGCACCCTTTAGATGTCGAGGATTGAGAGTCTTACCTCAAAATATCCTACTGTGAATCAATTTCACCAACTATTTTTAGGAGGTGTATGGTGGCCTCTACTGGAGTAGTACGCAGTCGATTAAGTTATCAGAAAAGGATCCAACTTTCTATCACAAAAGACACGTTTTTGTGTTTAAATGCTGCCCGCTTTTATAACAACAATAAAAACAAAGCACCTGTGTACATCTAAGTTCTCACTGCACAGCTGACCAAAGCCCAACCAGAACAGTTTCAGAGTAAGAAGAGTGGGAAGAGAGGTGAACCAAAGTATTTTGGTTGAACCTCGCTAAGTCTTACCAAAGATTCGACTTATTTATAAGGGCTGGGGTTTACTTTGCGTCTTCTTTTACAGACCAACGGGGCAGGGACAGCGGTTGTGGAAAGGAGAAGGGGTGGAGCAAGAGTGCAGTAGAATCAAGGGGACCTGAGAGGAAGCAGTAGAACATCACCTGAAACCTGGCGACTGGAGATAGGTCGCCAGTGTATCTCGACATGGGTCATTACAAGGAACCATAACAAGCCACAGAGAAACGAGAAAGCTGTTACCAGGGAACACTCGTGCCTATGTGCAAATGTCCCCAGAGTTACTTAGTCACCTTGGTGTGTTTGTTGCACTGGGTTCGTAAAGCGTCCGGGGTTCAACAGCGAGCTGGAGTCCGCAGCTGTCCCCCAAAATGTTCCCAGCCAGCAAACTAGGCGCGGCGGAGAAAAAGGGACGCGCGGAGTCAGGCACAGCACCCCGCCAGTCCCCCAGTTCCCCTTCGGGTCGGAAAGTGAAGAAACTTAGTCACAACAACTCTGGCGTGGCCCGCCAGGCAGGCGCTCCGCCCAAGGCCGAGCCCGGGCCCAGGCTGCACTCACTCCGCAAGCCCGAGCCCGCCGTCTCATCCCCGCCCGCTCCCCAGCGAAAGGGCAGTGGAGGCAGCATCAAGGGGGCTTGCCCGGGAGCCCGCTTCCCGGCCCTACGCCTCTCCTCTCTCCGTCCCCAGCCAAGGTCTTGAGGGGAAGGAGGCGGGGGTTGGCTCCAGCCCGTCTTGGCCACCACACTAACCTCGCCGCTGCTCGCGCCGCCGCCGCTGAACACTTCCATTTCTCGGTCCCAGGGCTCGTCCTGAGGAGCGAATGGTAGCATCTCCCCTTCAGGAGCACTCAAACAGGAGCTGCCGCCTACCGCTGGCGCGGCCGCGCATCCTGTCTATTGAACTGGCCCGCCGCCGCCGCCGCCGCCGCCGCCGCCGCCGCGACCCCCAGCCCCGCCTTCAGCGAGCGCTGCCCTCGCCGCCGGGTCTCTCAGAGGCTGGGAGCTGGGGGTCGCCGCCGCCGCCGCCCGGTGATTCCCATAGAGAAGACAACTCTGTGCTGCCTCTCCAAGAGCTGCCGCTCGGCTCGCGCTCACCACTGCCACCACAACGACAGCCGCTCGGTGGTGACTCCCCCAACACCCCACTTCCTCGGGTCCCCTCCCCGCTCCCTGCTCTGTCAATATGGCGGCAGCGGCGGCGTTACCTGTGCGGCGCCTGGACCCCCCCACGGCGGCGGCACAGCGGCGTCACCCAAACGTCAATGGAGATTCCCCAGCTTGGGGTGAAGGGGGCGGGATAGAGGGGCGGGGTGGATGCGGGGGACCGCGTGGTGGGTGGTGGGATAGAGGGGAGGGGGGCGTGCTGGGCTGGGGAGGCGACTGAACAGTAGTAAAAGCCCCTGCTAGCGCCTCGGTAAACCTGCCCACTCCACGGAGCATGCGCAGCGCTCTTCACACATGCTCAGCAGGCCCTCTCAAGTCCACGGAGCAGCATTGCTGGCGGGCGGCAGGATTCTCAAAAAGGATGCTGGAACTGGGGGACCCTCCAGAGCACTTGAGGAATCAGGGTAAGGGTAGGACTCCAAGAGTATCTCTTTGCAGGGCTCACGAAGAGCAGGTGTCTTATATGCCAAACCACGCCCATTTCGATACTTAGTGACAAATACTAGGGCAGGGATTTTAGTACATCATACATTATCCTCCTAGAAGGTAAAGGCAGGATAACCCCCATTTAAAAAAATAAATATACCTGTCCTCTCTAGCCCCCACCTTACTTGTCCCTCTCAGGATGCTCCTGCTGGTTGCCTTCACACTATTGATAACACACAATGTTTCTCTTCACACATGCACACACACAGGCAAACATATGCCACTTAATGAACTCCACTTGTGGCAACAAAGGCATGATTCCGAAGCTAGCCCATCCTCCAGCCCCCTCTGAGAATGTTGGGTCTGTAGTGACAATAATCATAGTTTTTAGTACCTTCTTCAAAGCGAGCTTTACTACTTCGCTACTCTAAGCCACACATTGTACTGGGAGCTGGCGATATAACAGAGATAAAGTATAATCTTATACGGGGGATAATCAAGATGCTTCTCATCAAAACACTTCAGAGCTGAAAGTTTAAAAGTTATTCCACATTTGACACTTCAAAGACTTAAAAGAGCAACTGTAACAGCGGCTAAACCAACTCAGGACCTTGGAGAGGTTTCTAACGTTCATAAAAGGCACACCACCCCCTTTACCCTTCTACACCTAGGGCTGTTGACCTATGCCCTCCATTTATTTCATCATCTGGTCTCAAGAGCTAATGAAGCAAAGCTGGCCACAGAGATTGCACTGAATTACAAACAAGGATAACTGATAATGTCCTCTCACTTACTCTGCTGAAAATCTCGAGGAGAAAGTGAGCTTAACGAACAGGGTTCTCTAAAAGTCAAAGCTTCGAAAGTAGTGGGTGCATGGGGCTATAAATCGTGAAAATGTGTGAGAGTGTGTGTGTCTGTGTGTGCACGCACACACCCATAAACTCATATTTGGCTGAACTGACAGTATTAACTAGGGCCAACTTTTTTTCTTTTTCTTTTTTTTTTTTTTTTTTTTGAGACAGAGTCTCATTCTGTTGCCCAGGCTGGAGTGCAGTGGCGCGATCTTGGCTCACTGCAACCTCTGCCTCCCGGGTTCAAGCGATTCTTCTGACTCAGCCTCCCGAGTAGCTGGGATTACAAGCGTGCGCCACCACGCCCGGCTAATTTTTGTATTTTTAGTAGAGACAGGGTTTCACCATGTTGGTCAGGCCGGTCTCGAACTCCTGACCTTGTGATCCGCCCACCTCAGCCTCTCAAAGTGCTGGGATTACAGGCCTGAGCTGCTGTGCCTGGTACTGCCAACCTTTTGAGCGCTGGGTCTCATCCATCCCTTCTTGCCTACTCAAAGGCTTTGTTCTGCAACCCGCCCCCCCACTAACATCATCTATTTTTTTCTCTCTACTGGATCTCTCCCGTCAGCAAAAACATGTTATTGACAGCTTGCTTGAACACTTGCTGGCATTTGATGTAAGTTCATGACTTACTCTTTCTTTAAACATTTTCTTTACTTGGCCTCTGGAACGAAATAATGTTTGTTTTTCTCCTACATCATTGTTTCTCTTATACATCTTTCTGTCTCCTTTACTGGATCATCCCTCCTCTTCCCAATTCTGCCTATTGGAACTTCAAGGTTCAGTCCCACCCTCTTTCTTTTTCAGCGTTCTAGGTATTCCCATATCCCATCCATACCTGATATGGTTAGGCTTTGTGTCCCCACCCAAATCTCATCTTGAATTGAATCCCCATAATCCCCATAATCCCCATGTGTCAAGGGAGGGACCAGGTGGAGGTAAGTGAATCATGGGGGTGGTTTCCACCATGCTGTTCTCATGATAGTGCCTGAGTTCTAACAAGATCTGATGGTTTTATAAGGCGCTCTTCCTTCCTTTGTTGGGCACTTCTTCCAGACGCCATGTGAAGAAGGTACCTTGCTTCCCCTTTGCCTTGATTGTAAGTTTCCTGGGGCTCCCCAGCCATGATGAACTGTGAGTCAATTAAACCTCTATTTTTTAAATAAATTACCCAGTCTTGAGCAGTTCTTTATAGCAGTATGAAAACAGACTAATACAATAAATTGGTACCAAGGTAGTGGGGTGCTGCTATAAACATACTGGAAAATATGGAAGCGACTTTCAAACTATGTAACAGGCAGAGGTTGGAACAGCTTGGAGGGCTCAAAAGAAGACAGGAAGATGTGGGAATGTTTGAAACTTTCTAGAGACTTGTTAAATGGCTTTGACCAAAATGCCGATAGTGATACAATGAAGTCCAGGCTGGGGTGGTCTCAGATGGAGATGAGTAATTGTTGGGAACTGGAATAAAGGTGACTCTTGGCTATGCTTTAACAAAGAGACTGACGGCATTTTGCCACTGCACTAGAGATCTGTGGAACTTTGAACTTGAGAGAGATCAGTTAGGGTACATGATGGAAGACATTTCTAAGAAACAAATCATTCAAGAGGTGACTTGGGTGCCCTTGGAAACATTTAATTTTATGCATTCACAAAGAGACGATTTGGAATTGGAACTTATGTTTAAAAGGGAAGCAGAGCATGAAAGTTTGGAAAATTTGTAGCCTGACGATGTGATAGAATAGAAAAACCAATTTTCTGAGGAGAAATTCAAGCTGACTGCAGAAATTTGCATAATTAACGAGGAGCCAAATGTTAATCGCCAAGATAATGGGGAAAATGTCCCTAAGGCATGTCACTTTAAGATCTCATTATATACAAAGAAAAGTTGGCCTGCTAATAACAACTTATTAGTCTATATAGTTGAACATAATTAAAATGCCTTTTATTCTGATGCCCTGTTAAGGAATCAGACTATGAAAATGGGCAAATTTGGAGGTGTCTACAAAAGATTATATATGTGTATATATATATATCCATATATATATATCCATATATATATATCCATATATATATATATCCATATATATATCCATATATATATCCATATATATATATCCATATATATATATCCATATATATATATCCATATATATATATCCATATATATATATCCATATATATATATCCATATATATATATCCATATATATATATCCATATATATATATCCATATATATATCCATATATATATATCCATATATATATATCCATATATATATATCCATATATATATATCCATATATATATATCCATATATATATATCCATATATATATATCCATATATATATATCCATATATATATATCCATATATATATATCCATATATATATATCCATATATATATATCCATATATATATATCCATATATATATATCCATATATATATATCCATATATATATATGGATATATATATATATATCTTACACACATACCACAGAGAGAAAGAGAGACAGAGAAAGGGAGACAGAGAGGCAGAGTATTCATTTAGACTGAGAACACATGCAACAAGTGATAGATTTCTAGGTTACCTGTGGTCAATAAGTCAGATATAAGCAAGTTGAAATTAGGAAAATAGGTAGACATTGAAATGGGCAGAGTTTTTGCCCAGGGTATCATGACACCTTTGGTACACATGGTCTAGTACCCTGGATAGCTCCCTGGAAGATAATTTGATTTGAGTCAAAGCCTGGCCTCAAAAAGAGAGCCTTTTTTGGACTCAGAGTCCCACCCCTCACTAGGCTTCTGAATATTAAGGGAGCCCATACACACATTTACGTAAATTTGAGTCTCTGAAAAATAGAAAGTGGAGAGTTATTTCAATATCCCAAGTAACATTTGGACCTCCATTACATAAAAGGGGCACATATTTTGGCCTAATTTGGACCAATGTAGGAGTATACATATTCTCCAAGTAGGCCTACGACAGAGTCCTTATACAAAACGAGATGTTTAAAACCAAGTGTTGGTTTTCCACACTAAAACTCAGAATTACTTTCATTATTTTCATTCTGCGTTTAGTGATTCAAAGTTCATTTGGATACTAAATTTTTTTGTGAGTCAACCTACTAGGTTTGAAAGGTTTTAAAAGTAAATGTTATACAAAAAGTTTCAAAAGTAAATGTTGTTCAAAATAATCTTATAATCTCGTAACATTTTCAAAAAACTAGATCCTATATAACCATAAAAATTATACAAAGGCAACACAGCTTCTACCTAACTTGCCTGCTGTTTACATCTTTGAGTATGATCTAGTATACTTGAATGGAAATTTAATTAAAACAAGATTAAAACCTACACTTAATTGAAGGTCCAACAAAGACATTACTTATCTTAAAAATGTTTTCTTGATTTTATTGATACATAATAATTTTACATATTTATGCAGTACATACTATATTTTGATACATGCATAAAGTGTGTAATTATCAAATCAGCATATTTAGGATATCCATCACCTCAAAGACTCATCATTTCTCTGCACTGGGAACGTTTCAAATCTTCTAGCTACTTTGAAGTATACAACAAATTACTAACTATAGTCACATGATTGTACTCTCAAACACTAGAACTTATACCCTTTATCCATCTGCATATTTGTACCCATTAACCAACACCCCTTCACACCGCCACCCTTCCCAGCTTCTGAAAACCGTCATTGGACTCTTTACCTCCATGAAATAAAAATTTTAGCTCCCATATATAAATGAGAACATGCACTATTTGTCTTTCTGTGCTTTGCTTATTTCACTTAACATAATAGCTTCCAATTCCATCATGTTGCTGCAAGTCAGAGGATTTTATTCTTTTTGTGGCTTAATAGTACTCCATTGTATATATGCACCATATTTTCTTTATCTGTTAATCCATCAATGGACACTTAGGTTGGTTCTGTATTTTGGCTATTGTGAATAGTGCTACAATAAAAAATAAAATAGGGGTGCATGTATCCCTTTGATATACTAATTTCGTTTCAGTTGGTAAGTACCCAGCAGTAGGATTGCTGGATCATATAGTAGTTCTATTTTTATTTTTTTGAGAAACCTCCATACTGTTTTCCATGAGTGCACTAATTTATATTTCCACTCACAGTGTATAAGAGTTCCCTCTTCTCTCCATCCTCACCAGCATCTGTTAATTTTTATATTTTTGTAATAGCCATTCTAACTGGGGTAAGATGACATCTCATTATGGTTTTCATTTACATTTCCCTGATGATTAGTGATGTTGAACATTTTTTTCATATACCAGTTGGCCATTTGCATGTCTTCTTTTGAGAAATGTCTGTTCAGATGCTTTGCCCATTTTTAAGTGGGATTGTTTGTCGGTTTGCTGTTGAGTTTCTTGTATATTGCAAATAGTCATTCCTTGTTGGATAAATACCTTGAAAATATTTTCTCTCATTCTAAAGTTTGTTTCTTCACTCTGTTGATTATTTCCTTTGCTTTGCCTGTGTTATCTAAGTCTTTGCCCTAAAAATCTTTGCCTTAACCAAGGTCATGAAGTGTTTCCTCTACATTTTTTTTCTAGTAGCTGTATAGTTTTGGGTCTTATTTTTAAGTCTCTAATCCAT
The DNA here is from genome assembly GCF_000001405.40 of Homo sapiens. Classification (NCBI taxonomy): domain Eukaryota; kingdom Metazoa; phylum Chordata; class Mammalia; order Primates; family Hominidae; genus Homo; species Homo sapiens. The sequence goes on from NC_000023.11 coordinate 84,194,145, forward strand.
TTTGAGTTGAATTTTGTATGTAGTGAGAGATAAGGATCTAGTTTCATTCTTCTGTATATGGATCATGGATATACAGTATTTCCAGCACCCTCTTTTGAAGACAGTGTCCTTTTTTAAATGAATGGTCTTGGCACCTTTGTCAAAAATCAGTTGATTTTAAAAACATGAATTTATTTCTCCACTTGCTGATCTGTTCCATTGGTCTACTGTTTGTTTTTATACCAATACCATGCTGTTTGGGTTACTATGGCTTTGCAGCATAATTTGAAGTCAGGTTTTCTGATGCCTCCAGCTTTGTTCTTGTTGAATATTGCTTTGGCTATTTGGGGTCTTTAGTGGTTCCATATAAATTTTAGAATTGTTTTTATTTTCTATTTCTGTGAAGAATATCATTGGTATTTTGATAGGGATTACATTCAATCTGTAGCTTGCTTTGGATAGTATGGTTATTTTAATAATATTAATTCTTGCAATTCGTAAACATGAGATGTCTTTTCATTTGTTTGTGTCATCTTCAATTTCTTTTATCAGTGTTTTTTAGCTTTTGCTGTAGAGCTCCTTCTCCTCGTTAAATTTATTGCTAGGTATTTTATTTTTTTGTAGATACTATAAATGGAACTGCTTTCTTGATTTCTTTTTCAGATAGTTCACAATTGGTGCATAGAAATGCTACTGACTTTTTAATGTTGATTTTGTGTTCTGCAACTTTACTGAAATTTTAATCATTTCTAAGAGTTTATCGATGAAGCCTTTAGGCTTTTTTCCCCCACAATTGAGACAGAGTCTCACTCTGTCCCCCAGGCTGGAATCCAGTGGCGTGATCTTGCCTCACTGCAACCTCTGCCTCCCAAGTTCACACAATTCTCCTGCCTCAGCCTCCCGAGTAGCTGGGATTACAGGCATGCACCACCATGGCCGGCTAATTTTTGTATTTTTAGTAGAGACGGGGTTTCGCCATGTTGGCCAGGCTGGTCTCAAACCCCCAACCTCAGGTGATCCATCGCCTTGGCTTCCCAAGCTGCTAGGATTTCAGGTGTCAGCCACCACTCCCAGCCAGCTTTTAGGCTTTTCTATATATATGATCATATCAGCTACAAATAGGGACAATTTGACTTTCTCATTTCCAATTTGGATGCCCCGTCTTTCTTTCTCTTGCCTGAATGCTCTTTCTAGGACTTACAGTATTCTGTTAAATAAGACTGGTAAAAGTGGGCATCTTTGTTTGGTTACATTTCTTAGAGAAAAGGCTTTTGTCTCTTCCACATTCAGTGTAATGTTAGCTGTGGTTTTGTCATATATGGCCTTTGTTATGTTATGTTCCTTCTATGTCTAATTTGTTGAAAGTTTTTATCATGAATTAATATTGAATTTTATTAAATACGTTTTCTCCATCTAAAATGCAGATGATCATATAGTTTATGTCCTTTATTCGGCTAAAGTGATGTATCTTTTTTTAATTTACATATGTTGAAAAATCCTTGAATCTCTGAGATAAATCCCACTTTATAATGGTGTATTATCTTTTTCATGTGTTCTTGGATTCATTTTGCTGGTATTTTGTTGATGATTTTTGTACCTATGTTTATCAGGGATATTGACCTGTAGCGTTTTTTATTATAATTATTATCATTGTATCATTGACTGGTTTTGATATCAGAGTAATGGCGGCCTCATAGTATGACTTTAGAAGAATTTCCTCCTCTTTAATTTTTTGGAATAGTCTTAGAAAAATTTGAGTTAGTTATTCTTTATAGGTTTGGTAAAATTCATCAGTAAAGCCAACCAGATCTGGGCTTTCCTTTGTTACTAGACTTTCTAATACTGATTCAATCTTACTACTCGTTATTGGTCTGTTCAAGTTTTTCTATTTCTTCCTTATTAAATCTCGATAGGTTTGTATGTGCCTAGAAAATTATCCATTTCCTCTAGGCTTACCAATTTCTTAGCATATAGTTGTCGTAATAGTTTCTAGTGATCCTTTCTATTACTGTGGTATCAATTGTAATGTTTCCTTTTTCAGCATTGATTTTATTTGGGGGGATCTTCTCTCTTCTTCTTTTTGTTTAATCTAGCTGGTGGTTTATCCATTTGTTTATCTTTTCTTGAAACCATCTTTTCATGTCATTGATCCTTTGTATTTTTAAAAATCTTTGTTTATCTTAGTTGTCCTCAAATATTTGTTACATCTTTCCTTCTACTAATTTGGGGTTAGGTTTTTTCTTGCTTTTATAGTTCCATGAGGTGCATCATTTGATTGTTTCTTAGGGATCACTTTACTTGTTTAGTTTCTTTTTTATTTTTACCTTTTGTGGGTATATAGTAGGTGTATATATTTATGGGATACATGACATGTTTTATTACAGGCATGAAATATGAAATAATAACATAATGGAGAATGGGATACCCATCCCCTTAAGCATTTATTCTTAGTGTTACAAAGAATCCAGTTACACTTTTAATTATTTTTAAATGTACAATTGTTATTGACTATAATCACCTTATTGTGCTATCAAATAGAAGGTATTTTTCATGCTTTCTAACTATCTTTTTGCACCCATTAACCATCCCCAACTCATCCCTGGCTCCTCACTACCATTCTCAACCTATGATAACCATCTTTCTGCTCTCTATGTCCATGAGTTCAATTGTTTTGATTTTTTGATCCCACAATTAACTGAGAACATGCAATGTTGCTTTTTTTGTGCCTGGCTTATTTCACTTAATATAATCATCTCCAGTTCCATCCGCGTTGTTGCAAATGTCAGCATCTCATCCTTTTTATAGCTGAAGAGTACTCCATTATGTGTAAGTACCACATTTTCTTTATTTATTCATCTGTCGATGGACACTTAGGTTCCTTCCAAATCTTAGCTATTGTGAATAGTGCTGCAACAAACATGGGAGTGCAGTTATCTATTCAATATACTAATTTCCTTTCTTTGGGATGTATACCCAGCAGTGCAGTTGCCAAATTGTATGGCATCTCTCTATATATAGTTTTTTGAGGAACCTCCAAGCTGTTCTCCCTAGGGCTTGGAATACTATGCAGTCATAAAAAGGAATGAGAATATGTCCTTGGCAGGGCCATGGATGGAGCTGGAAGCCATTATCCTCAGCAAACTAACACAGGAACAGGAAACCAAACACTGCCTTTTCTCACCTGTAAATTGGAGTCAAGTAATGAGAACACATGGACACATGGGATGGGACAACAGACACTGCGGCCTGTCGGAGGGGGTCATTGCGGGAAGGGAGAGCATCAGGAAGAATAGCTTATGGATGCTGAACTTAATACCTAGGTGATGGGATGATCTGTGCAGCAAACCACCATGGCACATATTTACCTATGCAACAAACCTGCACATTGTGCACATGTACTCCTGAACTTAAAATAAAAGTTGAAGAAAAAAAAACACTTAAATGAAAGAACTGAAACTTTTAAAATACCAGACAAAAACTTAAAGAAAACTCTGGATATTGTTGTAGTCAAGGAATTCATGACTAATACCTCATAAGCACAGGCAACAAGTACAAATATAGGCAAGTGGAACTTAAACTATAAAGCTTCCACCCAGCAAAATAAATAGTCAACAGAGTGTATAGACAGCCTGCAGAATGAGAGGAAATACTTGCAACCCCAGTGAGATATCATCTGGCAGTAGTCAGAATGGCTATTATAAAAAGTAAACAAACAAAAAACACCAAAAAAACCTAACAGTTGTTGGCAAGGATATGCAGAAAGGGAAACACTTATAAACTGTTGGTGGGAACGTAAATTAGTAAGACCTCTATAGAAAACAGTATGAATATTTCTTGAAGAACTAAAAATAGATCTGCCATTTGATCCAGCTCTCACTACTACTGGGTATCTACCCAAAGGAAAATAAATCATTATATAAAAAAGATACTTGCACTTCTATGTTCACCACAGCAATATTTACAAGAGCAAAGATATGTAATCAACATAAGTGTCCATCAACAGGTGATTGGATTAAAAAAATGTGGCATATATGCACAATGGAATACTACTCAATCACAAAAAAATGAAGTCATGTCTTTTGCAGGAACATGGATGGAACTGGAGGCCATTATCTTAAGTGAAATAATTCAAAAACAGAGTGTCAACTACCACATTTTCTCACTTATAAGTAGGAGCTAAATAATGGGTATGCATGGACATACAGTATGGAATGAAAGACACTGGATACTCCTTAGAGTGGTAGGGTGAGATGAAGGTGATGGATGAGAAGTTACTTAATGGCTACAATATACACCATTTGGGCAATGGATATGCTATAAGCCCAAACCACTACACAATCCATCCATGTAACAAAACTGCCCTTGTACTCCTTAAATTTATACAATTTATTTAAAAAATAAATTTTAAAAATTAAAAGAAAGATAGACAAATAGGTCAATGGATTATAATACATTCAGAAATAGGCCCAAATGTACATGGCCAACTGAGATTTTACAGAATTGGAAAGGTAATTCAGTGGAGAAAGAATAGATTTTTCAACAAAGGGTGCTGGAAAAATTTGGATATCCATGTGGAGGAAAATGAAGTTTGATCCATTGCTTGCAATATATACAAAGAAAAACTCAAAATGGATTATAAACATAGGTACAAAACCTAAAATATATAACATTTCTAGAAAAAAATAAATGAGAAGAAAATTTTTGTGTTCCTTGGATGGGTAAAGATTTCTTAGATTTGGCACTAAAAGCATGATTCATACAAGCAAAAACTAGACTTCATCAAAATTCAAAATACCTTCTCTTACAAAACACCATTAAGAGAATGATAAGATAGGCCATAGAAAGAAAAAAATATTTTCAAATCTTATATCTGAAAAGGATCTTGTATCCAGAATACATAAGAAACTCAAAATTTGGCCAGGCGTGGTGGCTCACGCCTGTAATCCCAGCACTTCGGGAGGCCGAGGCAGGCAGATCACGAGGTGAGGAGATCGAGACCATCCTGGCTAACACGGTGAAACCCCGTCTCTACTAAAAGTACAAAAAAATTATCTGGGCGTGGTGGCAGGTGCCTGTAGTCCCAGCTACTCGGGAGGCTGAGGCAGGAGAATGAATGGTATGAACCCAGGAGGTGGAGCTTGCAGTGAGCCGAGATCATGCCACTGCACTCCAGGCTGGGCAACAGTGCAAGACTCTGTCTCAAAAAAAAAAAAAGAAAGAAAGAAAGAAAGAAAATAAAAGGAACTCAAAATTCAATAATTATGAGAAAAACAACTTGTAAAATGTATAAATGATTTGACAAACACTCCACCAAAGAAGATGTACCAATGGGAACAAACCATGTGAAAAAATGTTAAACACCATTAGCTATTAAGAAATCCACATTAAAACCACAATAGGACATCATTGTACACCTATTAGAATGACTAAAAGGCAAACAACTAGGAAAAAACTGAAAATATTAAATATTGAAGAAAATCAGTATCAGCTGGAACTACCTTAACTTTCTGGTGGGAATGCAAAATGGTGCAGGCACTTTGGAAAACAGTTCAGAGGTTTCCTACAAAGTTAAACATACACTTATATAACCTAGCATACCATTCACAAATATTAGCTGAGGAGATGAAAATGTACATTCACACAATAAATTTTGTGTGAATGTTTATAGCAGCTTTAATAATAATTTCCAAAATCTTGAAAACACCAAAAATCCTTCAACTGTAGAAAGGATAAACAAAATGTGGTACATCCATTCAAAGGAATACTACTCAGCAATAAAAAAGAATAAACTACTGGTACCTGCAAACAATTGGATGAATTGCAATTACATTATTTCAAGTGCAAAGGATGGCCTTGAAAAGCTTCATACTCTGCGATTTCATTTGTATAACATCTTAGAAAATGTAAACTGTAGGGCCTAAAAACAGACCAGTGGTTGCCAAGGGTTGCAGATAAAAGGCAAGGGTTTTGTTCAAAGGGCCACATGTTTTGGGGTTGATACAAATGTTCTGTGGTTGTGGTTACATGATTATATGTGTTTATCAAAACATATAACTGTATCCTAAAAATGTGTTTTATTCTACAAAAAATATTCTTCAGTAAACCTCACTTATAAAATAGGACATCAAACAAGCCAAAAGAATGGAAAAATGCACATAAATGCACAAATTATGAACAAAAGTGAAGGGTAATGTTAAAAGGCTTGAAGGTAGAGGAGTACAAATAGATTTTGCAAAAGGACGTTTTGAGGTTCAAGGAGAGTATTTAAAGGTGAGGAAAACTTTGTGAGCAAACTAGCTCTGGTTCCCTTTGTTATGGGTGGGAGTGTTTATGTGCCAATTATAGAAGAGTATCTCATATAGTTTTTACTAATAGCCTATAATGTCACCTGATTTTTCCTCCCTCAAAAATACTGAGTTCCTGTCATCCTAGAGTATCTATGCAACATATTCCCTGCAATAATGCAGAGCTTGTGAAAATGGTGAGTCCAGAGTGATTGTCTTGATATGCTATACCCTAAGGTCAATTGCTCCACCTGAACAGATTTTGATCAATACTCTCAGAAAGAAGCACATGCAAATTTGGAAATTTTAATATCTATATGTGTTATTTGGAGGTGGCAAAACATACCTTAGATTGCTTTAGTAAATGGCAGAAAAATGACTTACATTTCTTAAATACATTTTACTCACATTTGGTAAACATATACAAGAGGAATGGAAATCATTATTTGAGTGCACTTAGATTCCTTTTATCTGGAATGTGTTTAAAATATATGTGGTAAAAACGTATATTTGGGAAATGTAATATATTTAAAATGTAATATTCATATTCAGTATCATAGAAATGAACATAGTATTTGTTGTATGTGTAGATACAACAAATACTAATGTTGAAAATACTTGCTTAAAGTAAAAGCAAATACATTTATTGCATGTGCACTATGGAAAGGTTATACTGCTTCTCAAATGCTGCTATTTTCAGTTTCTTATGATCACTTGGGCCTGTGGTACTAAGTTTCTGATTACTAGATTATTACATTTTCACATTATCACAATTTGCAGATGAACATGTTTCAGAAAAAGAGCAACATTCTAAACTTCTTCAAAGAGAAAAGATAGCCATAATACCAGTCTGTTTAGTAACTAACACCCCTCCCAACCAGGTGGCTTTATGCCATTGCAAGTTATCCTGTTGTTGCTTAATCTTAATTATACATATTTTTTGGGGGGAAAGTAAATTAATAGTGAAAGAGTTAGAAATATCTATTAATATTTTACATTTATAATTTATTTACCCTGGCTATACCCAAAAACAATTGGAGGCACCACATTGTTTATATTCACTGGAGCAAAGAAATGGGCATTAAATAAATGACTTAAATTAATAGAAGTTAAATTATCCACAGACGCTATCCATTCTCTTTATTTGGAGTACATCTAATTGTAATAACCAGCTGGTTGCCTTCACAAAGTCCCACCTCCCTCACCCTCCCTTTATTCTTTTCCAAATTCCCTCCCACTTCTGCCTTCCCATTTTCTTCTCTCCCCACTCTGGATTCAGACTCCATTAGCCCCTTTGCACTCCCTATTGACTCTCTTATCTCATTCCTGCCCCCTCAATAAAACTGTCCTTCTCCCTCCTTTGCACTGTCTCCTTAACACCCTCATTCCCTTCATACCAGGCCCAGCCCCCATCCCTTTGTCCCCTTCTCACTCATGCCTTATATCATCCCTAATATCCTGTCTCCCAGCCCTTCTACTTTTAGTCTATCCTCTGTTTTAGGGAACACTTACTTACTACCTTCCTAATACTACTTTGATTAACACCTACTAGTTACTACTATGCCCTCTGGACATTTTTACCTGCCTTCTAGTCTTTTATTATATGCAGCTAAGTTTGTTCCAAAGTGGCTATCTCACTTTACTGAGCATGTTAAACTCCAGCTACTCACCTCTCATGGCATATGGTCCGTGGTGGTTTTGACTAAGTTCACATTCTTACATAAATCATATGTTCTGATTGTCACTTCCCTTAGTTCAACTTCTTACATAAACAGTGATAATCATATGTTCTGATTGTCAATTCCCTTACAATAGAATATCATATAAACGTGGTGCTAGAACTGCTGAGTATGTCTAATAAAAATGCTAAGGAATTATTTAGAACATATTGTATGGAGTCATTAGAATTTATTTATTTAATCCTTGCATCTCCGTTAACTTCTCAAATAATGATACTTATCACTCCTAACTGTCTTACTCTGATATGGCTATCTATCTACTCAGGCTTGATTAATATCACCTATTTATTGCATGTGCACTATGGAAAGGTAACAATGCACTGTTGATCTCACCTTAATTAGAACCAACACTCTAACCTTTATCGGGAGCACAGGGCTCTGTTTAGATTAGATGATTTTCATCTAGCATAGATGCTAATATGCTTGCAATTTTAAAAACATTTTTACTTTTCTACTTGTACTTCTAAAATAATCTGCATTTTGATTTACACACCTAATAAATAGAAGAGAATTAGATCCATTGTATATAGTGTGTCCCACTTACTTGAATAAAGATTCTGATTTAGAAATATTAATTCATCATGATAAATAATCCTATCTTGTTTTCAGACATAAAAATCAAACTGCCAGAAAACATTTACTTAACCTGACTTTATAAGACTTATATAAATGAACTCTGTATTATCACTGATGCGTGCTCTGGCAGGTCTTTTTTATTTCAATCGTTGGGAGGAATAACTTGTTTATAGCTAATGTATTTATGATTATTTCATGCTTTAGTCTGCTCTGGAACTGACTAAATAAGATGAAAAGGTGTAATTTATAGAAACAAAATTATGATTAAAATATCAGAATATAAAACTCAGTTTACATTGTCAGTACTTTTCCCCATTGAGCCTGAGTTGTTAGTGTCTCTAAATGCCCCCTGAATCTAAAATAAAAGTTGAAATTATTAAAGTAATTATGTGATCCTGCAAGGAGTCTGGCTTGACTCAAAAGGATAACAAAGTGACAACTTCCACCTCCTTTGACTCCCGTCCAGTTCCTGTCAGAATTTTCAGAATCTTTTTTCACTATATCGGATTTAAGGGTAGGCTCAAGGCAGGAACTACTGGACTAAGGAAGGCATAGACTCTTATCCCCAAATGCTGGGACTCTTTATAGCCAGAACAGCTCACTTGGTGCATAGTGTATAAAGAGAAGGATCTTAGCCATCCTGTTGCCAGCAACATTTGGCTACAAAGTTCTTTCAGCATAACTCTTCTATTTGGGAAATACCCTCATTGCAACATTTGGTCCAGAATCATCTGCTCCTTTTGCAAAAACCTCTGTCGAGCAAAGATACCTCTGCCAAACCCCACCTTCTATCCCTTTACTTTCACTTCCAGCCCATTTCTTCTGAGAAAACCTTATTGCCATGGAAATTTCTTTACTATCTGTTCCCTCCAGACATAATCTCTATCAGACCTAATCAAGCCTACTACTTTTGATTATTCATTTAAATTATTCTCTTTCTTGACTACCCTAGTTCCAACTCCACAGGAAAGATCCAAGTAACCATCCTGGATGCAAGCCCCTGTTATATCTATAGTTATTCTGTGTAACAATAGATTAGTTGCTAACAGCCTTGTTTTAGCCCCATGATTTATGAGATCTTTCTTTCACAATGTCTTCAGTGAGTATAAGAATCCTTAAGAGCTTCATTTTGATTCTGCTCTGTTCACCTGAGCCTTTCCTGCATAATTGATACTCGTTAGCCCCTACTGCCCTACTGGGGGGTGCTGTGCTATTCTGACAGTTGTAAATTTTATTAAATCTCTGTCACTACAGCACTCTTCTTGGAGAGATGTTTTAAAATATCGAGTTTTGAGCCCCTTTTTTTCCTTATTACACATTTTTTGGTACCATTTTACACCAGTAACTACAAAAGCCAGCTTAGAATTTCTGTCACCTTTTCCCCTTTCCTAATAAGCTTGCTTTCACAAGGATAGTTTAGTATTGCCAATTGTCTTCAAACAATGCCTTTTTTTTCAAAAATCTACAGTATACTATATTTTTCATTAATTAGCACTATGGCTGTTAATATTAACACAACATAGAAGTTGAGGATTTAGGCAGTTTTCTGAACAAATGTTACTTTTGTAAATATTTAACACCAATATTTTCCTAGTTTCAAGCAAAACTTGAATTTTGCTTAAAATATCCAGGTGCTATAATTGAGGCCAAAGAGGTCACCTTTTTGTTAAATCAGGTGGATAATTACTCTAATTCTCCAGTTTACTTTGCATGAAGCAATTAACTGAGAAATTTCCACTGAAAATTTCAGTGAAAAGAAATAGTCAAAAGTGAGTGTTGAGTATCTTCAAGCCCAAACAAGTAGCTAATTGCCTGAAGTCACTAGTTGTTTAGTTAGCCAGCCTCGGTTATTGAAATATAACCATGGTGAAATTGGAAGAAAGAAAAATAAACATCCCTTTATCATGCCTACCACAGTGCTCAATCATATATACTTAGAGTTAGTAGCACGATCAAAATTCTATCTTTTCTTCAATTTATCATTTTACTTCTTAAGGTAAGTTTATGTTGTCAACATTTATGTCAGTACAGAATAAAAAATGGCTTGAGAGCAGCTTAGCCATTCACTTTATTTGAGCCAATTTTCACAAACATCTGCTTTGGACATGAAGAAAGATTCTAGAGGTAGAAAACTTAGCAAGAACTACAATAATCTAATAAATCTGAAATGTGATGATTAACTAGAAATATTTTCACATATATCATTTCTATTTTGCTAGAACACAGCCTAGAAAGTCAGGATAAACAAATGACAAATGTATAGGCATACTGAAAACTGGAAAAAAGGTTGGTGTTAAATAGTGTCAAATGTAAAAGAGAGTCTGGGAAATCTTAACATCTATGAAACCCTCAGGGGTTAAAAACACCCCTGAGGGCAAATGATATCAAAATTATGAGAAACAAAATGAATGATTGGGAGTCCAATTTTCCCCTTTGAACTGGTGGTTGAACCTTAATTCACAAGTTTCTATTACTTACAAGGTTTTGCAAAATTCTAATAGACCCACTTAGCCATATATGTGGCCAATCTGTACTAAAGTCATTTCATAAAGGTAGCTATTTGCATTATTCAGAGAAATCTCAAAGGGGAAAATTTTAAATCTATCTTTACTTTTAAATACATCTACTTTTTTAGTATTGTGGAGTGAGGAGAAATGTTACATAAAAAATAAACTTCTGACTTGCCTCACTATAATTAAAGCTTATCTCATCTAGTCTGACTTGGATGGAAATGTTGAACAGCTGTCTGATCCACCCCTTCTACCCCAATACCTTTCCAACTATTTGAAGACTTGTGGTTAAGCTAATCCTTCAGTTCTCTTAAATTTCTTTTACAAGGGCAATTTTCTACAACTTTCAAAGGAATCACTTTGGCTAGCTTACCCTGGCCCTTCTCTAAATGCCCCCTGAATCTAAAATAAAAGTTGAAATTATTGAAGTAAAAAGATAAATAAATACTCCACGTCTCAGTTAGACCATAGATGCTGAAAGTGAATACATTATTCCACCTGGAAGACATGACAAAAACCTAATACAGAATATAGCAAGATTACATCTCAGCCCCTTCATGCTATTAATATATCTATATATAAGATAGTGTTCACATTTACAACCATAGGGCATTCCATTACTGGCTTTTTTTTTTTTTTTTTTACCTATTACTCCCACAGGCCTAATGCAGTTATTTGCTATACTTATATATAATGAATCCAGGACCATCTTGTACTCATCTGTAATCTGGTATTCTTCCCTCAGTGAACTTACTTTTAATTGACTTTGTCTTGATTATTTTTACCCATTTCAACTTGTCAAACTTGTTTAGCATCCCAATCTTATCTCACTTCCCCAAACCTCTATACTGACAAAAGCAGAATTCTTTGAGTATACATTCCTTAAAGAAAGTCTCAAACATGATACACCTATTTGATGAGTCTGCATACAGTCATGACACTAAGACATTCAACATTCCTACCCCTTGTTCACTGCCTAATAAAACCCAAAGCCTTGTTTATTGATGTTCTTACCTGATTCTCAGGTCTTTGCTAATGTTCAAAGAATGGATGCAACAGCACAGGCTTAAACTGGAGTCAGCTCTACAGCCAGATGCTCTACACTGTGTCCTTCTAAAACTCATTGCACCTCAAAATAGCTACTATCTGTAAGTGTTTTCCCCCTGGAGTACAACCTGGAAAAAAAATGTGAGTCTGGCTGGAACAGTGGTAAAGCTGGGAAACAAGGCAACTCAGTACATGAGGAAGGGGAGGGGACAGAATGGGGACAGAAGTTCCCAGAATAGGAGATGTCACCTTAACTCTCGCTCTCTGGGGGTCCAGAGATAGCTTTATGCTGACTGTAATATACTACAAAGATAAACAAACAAATAACCCAGCAACTCTTTAGGCCAGTTCTTTCTCTTGAACAAGAGGAAGATAATGCGAAAGAAAGGGTGAATGAGACTTCACCCCTTACAAAGTGTAGGACTTACATATTCCTCAGGCACAGAAGGGAAAATAGGCCAACTTATTCCCTCTTCCTTTATTTTCTCCTGGGATGTTCACTTATACTTTCTTACTTAAATTCCTGGTATTTCCATCTTAGAACTGTCTCTGTCCCTGGGCAGTTATCAGCATACATATACCCTTCCACCTCAGCCCGGACCTTCTGGGCCACCAGCCAATTGTCTATGTCCCCTCTATCAATAATTAGATTGTGCCTAATCATACAGCATTTAGATGCTACAAATATCAACATGAGTAATTAACTTGGACTGTGAACCCAATTTACAGCATTCAATACATATTAAGTCATAATAAACTAGTATATTATTATATCCATGTAAGTTTGTGATAAAATTAAAAAAATAGATTATATCAAAGTATTTAGGGTTTGTGGAGATTAAAGTATTTATGTGTTGAGAAGATACTTGGCATTTTAATTTCCATAGTATAGAAGTAAGTGAAATTAATTTGGAATCTTAAACACTTGGATTTATGTGGGACAGAGGACAGCTGAAGCCTGACATTTAATTTTTATTTTATTCATTCCTAATTTATACTTAATTCTAAAAAGGATTCAATGCAGCTGACATTGAATTGGGGGTGTGCTATAATCAATCATATATTAAATAATTCCATTCAAATATTTTTAAAAAGAATGGTTCTAATATATTTGCACCATTTCTATTTTTATTTAAATGCCCCCAAATAACTAGGTTGAAAAACAATTTTTATCCCTTTTAAGAAACATTTAGTGATGAGAGAAATTGCAAGGCATATTTCTGAAAGGGCAGATCTTCATTCTAAGGAATGGATATGTGACAGAACATTTTTCTCCATCAAAATAATGTCTCCCTATCTCTTTCCTTTTTCAGCTCTCTTCAATACTGTAATGTAATTTAATATAATAGAAAAATAGTGTTCTTCCTATTAGAGGTAAATAATCATTACTACTGTATAATGATATCTTTTTTTTCTCATTTTTTAAAGGTACTCTTTGAAAACATTTTTTCCCATTAGCTGTTAGAATCAATTACCAAGACACCAAACTCATGATTGTTAGTCACCCTGGACTGAGTTAATAGTTGACAATAAGCATTGTGGCTGATATGAATAAAAACAACAAAAATAGCATCCAATTTTATAGATGAGAGTGGTTAGTTTTGAAGAAGAATAAAATGCAGGAAGAAAAGGAAAAAAATCTAGGTAATATGCTCGATTCTTCACTTAAGTTACCTAATTAAATCATGAAAATTCTATAAAGTAGGTATCATTATCCCCATTTTGCAGATAAGAAAACTGAAGTTCAAAAATGTGAATTGCCCACAACTAATTAGTGGCATAGCTCAAACTGGAATTGAAATCTGTTTGAGTCCTAAAGCTGTGCCCTTAATCACTACTCACCACTGTGGTAAAGGGAGAACATAATGAAGAATGAGGTACAAAAACAAACTAATTTCCAATAAAAGTGGCTACTCATTCCTTTCCTCACTGTTCTTCTACTCTGCCCCAACAATAAAACAAAATAATATAGTTTCTCTATTCAGTGCCAATGTATATTTACATAGCTGAACTGCTTCTAAATGAATTGTGTTTATAAAAATTGATGAAGATTTTTGCATTTCCACATTCAGAAATAAGTGTTTGAAAAAATGATTTCTAAGTACTAAGGTTTAGAACTGTTAGTTAAAAGCATTAAATATCTTTAGTATTCCAAGCCCCGAAACTAGCCTGTGTGTTTATAATATAATCATTGATACTGCCATGTAAACTCTTGGGAACCTATTCCCAAAAAATAAAATTAAAGAAAAACATTGTGAGGGTAAATTATAAATTATTAAACATGAGCTGACATGGATGTAGCATTAGTATCCTAACACAAATGCACAATGCACAATTGACTAAAGGTCTTTATTGGCTCCGTATGTTAGTTGATGGCTTGATGGATTTGGTGAATAACTAGAAAATTTTACAGCCAGAGCATGTATGTAATAATAATCAAATATTTGAATCTTTAACAACTTCCTAGAGGCATAGGTCTTCCCAAACCAGAAAAACAACCATTATTTAATCTTACTACTCCCTCTAGCTATCACCTTATTTTATTTTTGTTTCATGGTCAAACTTCTCAAATAATCTACATGAGCTTATTCCTCTTTCTATATAACCTCTCCCTCTAGATATCACTTTGGTTTTATTTCTGCTCCACCTCACTAGGGCAACTGCTTTCTCACAGTTTACCAGTGACCTTCTTGTTAAGAAATCCACATTCTCTCTTCACGGCATGTTGTTGCCCATCACTTCCACCTTGAAATTTTGTTTCATTGACCTCCATACCACTATCTTTATTCTTTTCCTTTCTCGCCATATACTTATTCTTTATTAACGTCACTGGTTACTCTTCCTTCTACACCTTTCTGTGGACTTATTTTCCAATGCTCCTGCTCTTTTTTCCTTCTTTACCCTAGAAATTTCATGCATTTTAATGGCTTCTATGACATCTGTGTTGATGACAGCTGAAACGTAGCAGGAAAATCCGCGGACAAAACCACTCAGACACCAGGTTAAAGAAAGAAGTGGCTATATTTGGCTGGGAGCGTCGGCAGACTTGCATCTCAAGAACGAAGCTCCCCAGAGAAAGAGTTCCTGGCCCTTTTAAGAGCTTACAATTCTAAGGGATCCACATGAAAGAGTCGTGATAGATTGAGCAAGCATGGGATACGTGATGAGGTGCGGATGGTGAGCAAGGCAAGTATTTCTCCATACCATTGTCTGTGATCTATAGGTAGCACAAGTGGTTAAGGTGGGGGTTAATCTTTAACCTACAGGCCTGGCCAGTGGCACCAATCAGTCTGTTATTTTTCAGTTTTTACTTCCTCCTTTTCTTTGAAGACAGGAGACAGTAAGAGAAATGGCCTCTCTCCTCAAAGTTAAATCTTCAGGCTACCTCCACCCTCATAATTCCTGCTGAATATGTTTACTTGATTATTAATTATTACATTTGTCAATTCCAAAATAGAATTCATCATATTTTCCAAATAAATATCTTTTCCCTGTCACCTCCATCACTTGTAACATTCTCCCATCTATGATTTATCTCTTTTCTTCACTTGTTACATCAAGTCAGCCACAAAGTACTACCAAATTCTCTCTTTGTCACTGTTCTTATGCCTCTAAGTCAATTGGACACACCTGTTCAAGTTAGAGCTGGACCAAAATACAAAGCTACTACCAGCACTTTGCATTATGGCTCCAGAATTTACCAAGTCTAGAACTCATGCTTTTGCTCTACTACTTGCTCTGTCATCCCAGATACTTGCATATTGGCCAGTTTTCTCTCCCAGTTCTCTTCCACTAAAATATTAGTTTCAAGGATTTAGCATTTTATATTTAACATTTGTTCCTTTCCAGGACATGATTTCCATCTTTTCCCTTCTGGTAAGACTGTATAACATACTCAGTGGCCCTGCCATGTGATAAAAATTACTGATGTTTTGACATACTTTAAGAACCTAGAAACTATGTAATTCTACTGCCTGCCTGCTTGCTTGAACTACAACTCTCTTGGAAACCCAATCAGGGGAAAAATGGAATAGACTATTCCTGTCTTAACTTCTCTATACAGCCTAAATCCCACTATCAAATATTTCAATTATTCTTTTGACCATTTCCTCACCTTTCTTATTCATTGTCCTTATGTAGGATCCACATGATAAAATCCAAGCAATGTATCAATCCAAATGTCCACCTCTCTGGCCCTACTGTGCTGAGCTCCTGAATGTTGTTGGAGAAAATTACAAATTAGTCTACTGCAAGTTCTTGGTCTTTAATCTGAACTTGCTTCCAATGCCACCCAGTTATCTTCCTATTGTTCTCTCTTAATAACAGCTCTTTCAAACCTTCTCTACTTTCCTACCACTACTACCCCTCTGCCCCACAGTCCCTTCAGATAATTTCACCTCTTATTATGTGGAAAAGTTAAAAACCATCATAAGAGAACCCTTCAGATGTTCTGCCCTGCCACCTATAAACACCCCTGCTCAACACTCAGGCTCCGTTCCTTTTTCTGTAACAATAGAAGAGGTGATCTACTCTAATACAAGGCTAATACTTCCACATATACTCTTGAACCTATTGTTTCCTGATGTCTCAGATTGCCATCACTTCATCAAGTCCCCCATCCCAAGCATGCCTGCTCTGTTTCTCTCTCCTGAATCTTTGTCCTTTCCCTCCCTACCATATCTTCCCAACAGCACTGAAACATACTTAACTCTCCATCTTAAAAAAAAAAAGGCTCCCCTTGATTTGATGCCCACACTACTTACTGCAAAAATCTTTGATTATGCATAATAGCCAAGTTTCATTAAAGAGTTGCCTATCCTAATTGTTTCAATGTCCACTCATATCATTTATTCTTTAATTTACTATAATATTGTATCCACTTCATTGATTCATTGACATTGCCAAAGTCAGTAATGACCAATGTAATATCCAGTGGTCACATGGACCTTTCCCTCTTACTGAAATTCTTTTGGTTTCTAAGACACTATCCTGCCTTTCCTCCTATCTATGTAGCTGCCGCTTCCCTGTCTTTTTTGGGGGGGAGATCACTACTTCTTTCAACAGTCCTTTTTTTTTCCTTGTTGTTGTTGTTGTTGTTGTTGTTGTTGTTTTGAGGTGGAGTCTCACTCTATTGCCCAAGCTGGAGTGCAGTGGTGCCATCTGGCCTCACTGCAACCTCCGCCTCCTGGGCTCAAGCTATTCTCCTGCCTTAGCCTCCCTGGGATTACAGGCACATGCCACAATGCCCAGCTATTTTCTGTATTTTTTGGTAGAGACGGGGTTTCACCATGTTGGCCAGGCTGGTCTTGAACTCCTGACCTCAAGTGATCCACCTGCCTCGGCCTCCCAAAGTGCTGAGATTACAAGCGTAAGCCACCGCACCAGGCCCAAAAGTCCTTTAAATGTTGATGTTTCTTAGTGTTCTATCCTCAGTCCTTGACTTTTTTCATTTTACATTCTCTTCCTTATGTAATCTTATTCCTATATGCTAATAAATCACAAATTTAATCTCCGGCCCAAATCTCCCTTTTAAACTATGAGATATCTCCCACTTAAACTTCCCTCAGGCTACTCCATTCAACATATCCCAAACTGAATTTGTCAACCTCTATCTTTAACTTCAAATTGCCAGAACTGCTCCTCCCACTTTGTTTCTCCATTGCCAGTAAATGATCTCATCATCCACCTCATTGTCGTAACCCAGAAACCTAGATGTCAACTTTGACTATTCTTCACAGAACTTCTCAACATATCCTAGATGGTCAGCACTTTCACAACACAGTCCTTTTGCAAATAATGCCTCTCTGCCTGAAATACGCTGTTTTCTTCCTCTTTACCTAGGACATCTCTTACTCATCTCACCCAGATTTCTTCTTGAAGACTTTACATTAAGAACCCCTCCAGGACTTTACTCTTCTGAGTTTCCATAACAGCCTACTCAAAACTTTGCTGTGATATGTACCCGATTGTTTTCTTCACTTCTCTATGTTCCCCATAAGACTGTAAGTAATGTGAAGGTAGAGGCTTGTGCTTTAGTCATGTTTGTATCTATGCACTTAATATGGTACAACATTGACACTTAAAATGGGGTATTGAATAACATTTTAAGGGTTTATCAGAATAAAATAGAAAATATCAGAAAGAAAAACTAGAGAAAAGTATCAAAACGATTTTGGTAAGAAGATGTAGAAGTCTCCAAACTATGGAAAATAGAGATTTTTCCTTCATCTCTCAACATTAACACATTTTAATCACCTTTTAGTCTAATTATTAAACTATAGTGTTAATTGTAGGATTATCAGAAAACACAGATAATTTTTTTTATTATTATACTTTAAGTTCTAGGGTACATGTGCACAACGTGCAGGTTTGTTACGTATGTATACATGTGCTGTGTTGGTTTGCTGCACCCATTAACTCATTTACATTAGGCATTTCTCCTAATGCTATCCCTCCCCCATCCCCCCACCCCATGACAGGTCCCAGTGTATGATGTTCCCCTTCCTGTGTCCAAGTGTTCTCATTGTTGAGTTCTCACTTATAAGTGAGAACATGCAGTGTTTGGTTTTCTGTCCTTGTGATAGTTTGCACAGAATGATGGTTTCCAGCTTCATCCATGTCGCTACAAAGGACATGAACTCATCCTTTTTTATGGCTGCATAGTATTCCATGGTGTATATGTGCCATATTTTCTTAATCCAGTATATCACTGATGGACATTTGGGTTGGTTCCAAGTCTGTGCTATTGTGAATAGTGCTGCAATAAACATACGTGTGCATGTGTCTTTATAATAGCATGATTTATAATCCTTTGGGTATATACCCAGTAATGGGATGGCTGGGTCAAATGGTATTTCTAGTTCTAGATCCTTGAGGAATCGCCACACTGTCTTCCACAATGGTTGAACTAGTGTACACTCCCACCAACAGTGTAAAAGCATTCCTATTTCTCCACATCATCTCCAGCACCTGTTGTTTCCTGACTTTTTAATGATCACCATTTTAACTGGTGTGAGATGGTATCTCATTGTGGTTTTGATTTGCATTTCTCTGATGGCCAGTGATGATGAGAATTTTTTCATGTGTCTGTTGGCTGTGTAAATGTCTTTTTTTGAAAAGTGTCTGTTCATATCCTTTGACCACTTTTTGATGAGGTTGTTTGATTTTTTCTTGTAAATTTGTTTAAGTCCTTCATAGATTCTGGATATTAGCCTTTTGTCAGATGGGTAGATTGCAAAAATTTTCTCCCATTCTGTAGGTTGCCTGTTCACTCTGATGGTAGTTTCTTTTGCTGTGCAGAAGTTCTTTAGTTTAATTAGATCCCATTTGTCAATTTTGGCTTTTGTTGCCATTGCTTTTGGTGTTTTAGACATGAAGTCTTTGCACATTTCTATGTCTTGAATGGTGTTGCCTTGGTTTTCTTCTAGGGTTTTTTATGGTTTTAGGTCTAACATTTAAGTTTTTAATCTATCTTGAATTAATTTTTGTATAAGGTGTAAGGAAGGGATCCAGTTTCAGCTTTCTACTTATGGCTAGCCAGTTTTCCCAGCATCATTTATTAAATAGGGAATCCTTTTCCTATTGCTAGTTTTTGTCAGGTTTGTCAAAGATCAGAAATTTGTAGATGTGTGATGTTATTTCTGGGGCCTCTGTTCTATTCCATTTATCTATATCTCTGTTTTGGTACCAGTACCATGCTGTTTTGGTTGCTGTAGCTTTGTAGTATAGTTTGAAGTCAGGTAGTGTGATGCCTCCAGCTTTGTTCTTTTGGCTTAGGATTGTCTTGGCAATGCGGGCTCTTTTTTGGTTCCATATGAACTTTAAAGTAGTTTTTTCCAATTAAACACAGATAAATTTTAAAAAGAAATTGTCCCACAATGGTATCATTACTCATTTCAGATTATTTTTAAACATCTTCATGATTAAAAGTTGTGATGAATATTATAACGAATTCCTGTATATCTTATGATTATTACTTCTTGAGAACTCTTAGAAAAGTGGAAAAGAAAGTCAGAAGAGGAGGTTAGAGTGATGCAATGTGAGAAGGACTCAACCTGCTGTAACTGGCTTTAAAGATGGAAAGGGACCATGAACCAAGGATTACGGAGGCCTCTATATGTTAGAAAAAACAAGGGAACTGCTTCTCCTCTAGAGCTTCTAGAATGGAAGACAGACCTGCTTCCACCTTGATTTTAGCCCAACAACAGAAGAAATAATAATAAGAAAAAGTCAAATACAAGTTACTTGTGAAGGAAATCTTCCTGTACAGTTGGTCTGCCTGCTACCAGGGATCAGGAGCAAAGGAGGTAGAACCTGAAGAAGAGGGTTGCCAATTCATTTTTGACAAAAGCACCAAGAACATACTTTGAGGTAAAGGCAGTCTCTTCAATAAAAAATGCTGGGAAAACTGGATATTCATATGCGGAAGAATGAAACTAGGCACCTATCTCTCACCATATACAAAAATCAAATCAAAACAGGTTAAAGACTTAAATGTAAGACCTGAAACTATGAAGTTCCTAAATTGAAATTTGGGGAAATGTTTCATAACATTGGCCTTGGCCAATGAGTAAGACCTCAAAAGCACAGGCAGTCAAAGCAAAAATGGACAAATGGGATCCCATAAAGCTGAAAAAAACTTCTCACAACAAAGAAACAATAAATAAAGAGTCAACCTACAGAATGGGAGAAAATATTTGTAAACTATTCAACTGACAAGGGATTATGAACCAGAATATAAAGGGAACAAAATTAATAATAAAAAACAAATAATCCGATTAAAAGTAGGCCAATAATCTGAATAGACATTTCTCAAAGACAACATTCAAACAGCCCATAGGTATATGAAAAGTGGTCAACATCACTAATCATCAGAATAATGTGTATCAAAAGCACAATGAGATATCTTCTCACCCCTGTTAAAATGTTTTTTTTTTTTCAGAAAAATAAATAATAATGGATGCTGGTGAAGATGCGGAGAAAGAGGAACTCTCGTACACTGTTTGTGGGAATGTAAATTGGTGCAGCCATGATGTGTAGTCACTTCATACAGTACAGTATGAAGGTTCCTCAAAAAACTAAAAATAGAACTATCATATAATTCAACAATCCCACTTCTAGACATACATTCAAAAGAAGGGAAATCAGTATATTGAAGAGATATCTGCCCTCCCATGTTTATTGCAGCACTATTCACAGTTGCCAAGATATGGATTCAATCTATGTGTATATCACCAGATGAATGGATAGAGAAAATATGGTATATACACACAATGAAATATTACTCATCTATAAAAAATAGTGAAATTCTGTCATTTGCAACAACATGGATGGAACTGGAAGAAGTATAAGCCAAGTACAGAAAGATAAATATTGCATGTTCTCACTCATATGTGGAAGGTGAAATATTTGAATCATGGAGATAAAGAAAGGCTAGGAAGGGTATTGAGGAGGAGGGGTAAAGAGGGAATGGTTAATGGGTACAAGAATACAGTTAAATAGAAGGAATATAATCTAGTGGTTTGGTAGCACAATAGGGAGACTAAAGTTAACAATAATTTATTGGATATTTCAAAATAACTGAGGAGTGGATTCGTAATGCTTCCAACACAAAGAAATGAGAAATGTTTGAGGTGATAAATGTTCATTACACATAGTCTGCTTGTATCAAAATATCACATGTACCCCATAAATATGTACAACTCTTATGAATTTATTAAAATTTTAAAAAAATTTAAAAATAGAGGCTTCCCAGTTAAATTTGAATTTCAGATAAAAATGAGTAATTTTTAGTACAAGTATATCCAATGCCAATGCTAAATATTTTGGATATATTTATACTAAAATAATTTTTATATGAAATTTAAATTTAATGGATAACCTTGTATTTTATCTGGCAAACTTTATTAACTGGGCATCCTGGTAAATTTTAGCTAAATCTGATTCTCCTACTGAAGGATTTAACTTCATGGTGTTACCATGTTAAGACCTCAAATACCTTTTTCATTTCTTCCCAAAAAGAAGTTGTGTCCCAGTGAAGCTGTGTCCCAGTGTCTCATATATGAGAAGCATTAGCATATGAAATTGTGGGGGAATCATATTGGGTGTCAAAGCCAACATTATAGAGGAATGTTGGCTTAGGCCCAGTGCTACAGTACAAATTCAGGCAAATCAGCTCCCCTCTTTGAATTCTAGTTTTCACATATTCAAATGAAGGGATTTGGATAAGATCCTATAATTAGTGAATTAATTCTTGGAAGTAACGTGATGCAGTTCTATTGCAAAGGATGATAGTTTTACGCTTGAATGGGCAGAGCTGACACTGACACCTGCACAGGTGGCTCCCTGCCTGGAACATGGACGCTGCTTCCATTACAGCAGGTGGTGCATGGCCATGCACAGCAGCTCCAGGATTTCAACCTCTCATCGGCACTCTGCTATTGGGTTCATCCCGTGAATTAAAAAAAAAAATTAATTGCACTTTTCAGTTGTGTAGCTTCCATTTGGTCATTTTAAAAATAACTTCTATTTCTTTACTGAGGTTTGCTATTTTTTAATTTGTTTCAAAAGAATTTATTATTGATTTTTGGATCCAATTTATGATGGCTGCTTTAAAATTCTTGTCAGATAATCTCAACGTCTGATTTTTCCTGGTGTCAGCTTAAGTTGTTTGTGGTTACCTCATTCAAATTGTGGTTTTCCTGGCTTTTGGCATAAAAGGTAATTTTCATTGGTGAAAAAAAAAAAAAGAACTCTTAGAGACTCTACAATCTTTCTCACATAGTTTTCATTCCCATGGGTGTCTTTTTTTCAACGTAATGTTTAAAAAGTTGTTTTTGGCCAACCAAGATCTGTCCTGCTATAAAACTAAGGATTTTTTTCCCTCTGCAAATTTTCCATGGTCATAGAAGATAAGTGATGAGTCTCTCCTTTTTCTTTACATAAACTGCCTTCATTTTCTTGTGGACAGAAATTCCTTATCCTTCTCTTCCTCAGACAGAATAGCCTTAATTATGTTAGGGCTAGTCTCCTTCTTGATGAGTATTTGGGTCCATTTTCAGGAAAGTTCCTCCAGTTTTCCCAAGTCTTAAACCAAATAGAATGCTATTTTCAAAAAGTAAATGAGCTAAAGAGCCATTTGATAATAATAAAAGATATATTCAGCTTAGAAGATGAGAACCTGCATTTTAACAAAGCACCAGGAATGCTTTTGTTTTTTACAATCCTCTGTTCAGGACCACACAGAAGCAATGTCCTTTTTTCCTTGTTAATTCATGCCTGAAAATGAGGTGTTCAGGGGTTAAAAAACACCAATGAATTACTCATTGTATACAATTTCCAGCTCTTTATCAATGTCACTCTTTTTCACAGCCAGATTTCATGCAAAGTCAACATTTTAAAGTTTAATAATAATAGATTTCTGCAAGTTAATCCTGCTGATTCACTCTACTTGGTTGAGGCTGATATTTTCCCCTCAATTTCCATAGCTACCTAGACCATAGAGACAAAAGTTTCTCATCATTTCATAAACTCTCTTACACATGGCTTTTCACTAAGCAGTCTGCTAACCCAAAGAGGTTGATAAAATTGTTTCCAATTAATTTATATTATATTATACTCCACTCATTCTCAAGACTTCTCCTTGAATTTATATTCAATGTCCACAGGAGAGGACAAATGTCTTTGCCTTCTGTAAGCCAGGCTGTTTTCTATCTTTTTCCCCTGTCTATAACCCTGAAAACAAGTGGACTCGAAAGGGAGAGGAGGTGGCTATGACAGCTAAATGTCATCTTTTACTATCATGGCCATCCTCTTCTCAACAGACACTGAAGAAAATAGATGCCATAAATAAAAGGACAGTACATTAGAAAAAGGCTACTGTGCTCAGCTAAGCTATAAATGAAGAAGACAGGCTTTTTGGCCTTGTGTATGTGTCTTCTTTCTCTCCCTCTTCTCATCTGGACCATACCCCTATGATGCCTAGGCCCAGATTGCCTTTGCATCATCCTCCCAAATGCCCAGGTTTCCCTCCCAAACCCATTTGGCTGAAAGAGCCATCTATTATCTGGACCTTTCTCCTCCTATATCTCATTAGTAACACTCAATTATAGTGTTCTTTCCTCCCAAGGCCTTGCTAGGCGATTGAAACTGATCTGAGAAAATAACTCGGGCTAAGATATTAATAAATGATAATGACCTAATGAGTTTCTGTTCTGAGGTAGCAAATGAGGTCCATTACAGGAGCATTCCACATCTTCTTAACTCCAAAGTGTGACACTTTTAGGCACTATGGAAGATTTTGAGAGATAAATTTGGGGCTTGCTCCAGTACCCTTTAAATCACATGCCACAGGCAGCAGCAGCCAGAATCTCTGGAGCTTCTGTTACAGATTGATAGCAGTCACACACTCTCATTTTTCTCCCCTTTTAATTTTAACCTATCAAACCCCATCCCCTGTCAGATATGATCAATGACAGAAAAGAACCTTTATAGTTTATAAAATATTGCCCGGGGACATCTCCTCCCTTTCTTCCCCTATCTAATAATGTGATTCTCCCTGTTTGGACAAGTGCTTAAGTGCCTGAACAAAGAGGCTCATGTTATTAATTATGTATGTATACTCAAGGGCTTCTGCAATGGACTTAAAAAAAATAAACTGAAAGAATAAGTAAACCAGTAAAAGGATCATGTTGGTTAGCACTTAGGGGCAAATAGACACTCTGGGTTCAGTGCCCCTTTCAATCCCACACTCCTGGCAATACCCAATTAGTGCATGTGCATTGCAAAGAAAGGCCAAATGAGAATGTGCTTTGCCAGGCCTCTGCACAACCCTTGCAGAGGTTCACTCACAGTTATACTAATCAGATCATTAGGTTGCACTCCACAACTTACATACATGCTAGGCATGGCATTTTAAAATGTTGATATCACTGATAAATCCAAACCCATTTGAGAACTTCTCGAATGCACTATTAAAAGCTCTAACGTTTAAAGTATGTTTAATTATTTCCCATAAACATAATTCTGAAAGCTCTTTTTGTTTATTTCAAGGGAAGAAAATCAATTTTCCCTCTGCTGTTGCTAACTCAAATACTGGATGGGAAAATTATATTTATACTTATTTTTTATTACTTCACCTTATATTTTTCTGTCTTTAGATCTCATTGACATAGCACTAATCATAGAAACTCTAAAATGAAAAGGCATACAGATCATCCAAACAGGGTTTTTAAAGGAAAAATATTTGGTAGCATCAAGCACAACAATTTCTCCTGAGTGATGAGTTAAATGGAATTATTTATAGACTGCCACCCATTGCTTTTAAAATTACTTCTGTTTTTATACTTGCCATGAATCACTATTATCTCTCCATCTCCCTTTCTGTCTCTAGGTCTCTTTGCTCCTTCATATTCACACCTACACATTCATTCACAGTCCACATTGTCAGAGACTAAATGATTAATCTTTGCAGCTGCTGAGTCATCTGAGTCAGCTAGAAGTGCTAGAACCCTTCTTGCCCATCTGCCTAATTACTGACCAAGCACTGAATCAGAAATTGCAGTAAGTAATCACATAGAAGACACAGAAGATGTCAATTCTCTTAGGAGAGGATGAATAAATAGGCAGAGATCGTGAAATATGTTTCCTTTGGATTTTAGCTGATGTACATATTTAATGAGCAGCTTCTTACAAGCCAGCCATCGGATTTTCACCTGAAATCTGGGGTGCATTTTGCAGCAGCATTTCTTAGAACCCAGAAAAAAGAAATGATATACATTGCTGCAGTGAAAATGAAAATGCTCATACACACATGAATAATGTTTTTCTCCTCTGAGTGGTATATACTAATTCAGGATATGCGGAATCATTTACTGATGGATGTACTGATTTAAACCGAAAACTCCTTTAAAGTTAATTACCTATCTACATTCCTGAGGAATATTATGATATAGCCATGAAGGCATATGTTGTTGTCTTCCTTGAAGAAATATTCCCACAATTGGCAAAATCTCTTAGATTTGTAATCAAATTAGAAATCTGGCCGGGCATGGTGGCTCATGCCTGTAATCCCAGCACTTTGGGAGGCAGAGGCAGGTGGATTGCTTGAGCTCAGGAGTTCAAGACCAGCCTGGGCAACATGGGGAAACCCTATCTCTACCAAAAATACAAAAA
The DNA here is from genome assembly GCF_000001405.40 of Homo sapiens. Lineage (NCBI taxonomy): Eukaryota > Metazoa > Chordata > Mammalia > Primates > Hominidae > Homo > Homo sapiens. The sequence continues at coordinate 84,220,452 of NC_000023.11, forward strand.
TTAGCCGGATGTGGTGGTGCACACCTGTGGTCCCAGCTACTGGGAAGGCTGAGGTGGGAGGATCACTTGAGCCTGGGAGGTGCAGGTTGCAGTAAGCCAAGATCATACTACTGCACTCCAGCCTGGGTAACAGAGTGAGACTTCATCTCAAAAACAAAAACAAACAAAAATACATCTGGTGTCACCCCTGATTTGACAATTAAATTAGAAAACATAAAAATTGCCTAGCTCAGTTTTTAATACCAATAAGCTCAGTGAGAACACAAACATGTATTCCAAGGGTTTCTCTATTTGGTAATGGATGAAGTTCAGCTTTCATTTTAGTTGGAGGCTTTGGGTATCCAGCCTGGCAGAAACTGCTGTGGTTTTAGGAGAAACAGTTGTTTTGGGGATAGATATAATGTTTAATTGGTCGCTAGATTTTATTGTTTACATGACTATAGTCCCTGGGCTGACTTAAAGAGTGGACTCTGAAGTAAGAAGCAGAGGGGTTTCAGAGGAAATACTGGATTGAAAATAGAGACACCCAGTTCTCACACAATACCTACCTCCTACCTCTTTTCTCCTACTTGCAGAGTGATAGAAGAAAATCAATTACCTACACTGTGCCTACTACTTCACATTCTATAAAAGTGGCCAAAGAAGTGCTCTGCTCCACATCTTAATTAGATACTTTTACATATCCAATCTGCATTATATAATGAATAAATATTTGTTGACAAGAGTGTCAATTTTCAAAGGAAATCACAAGCTCCAAGCTGAATCTTCATACTGCCATTTTGATCCTCTGGCTTTGTCTTCTCAAGTTACAAATGGGGTCTATCCCCTAAAGCTGTAGGGAAAAATCAAAGGGATCATACTTGTAAAGCAGTAATAACAAAAGAATCGAAGGATAAAGCTGTCCACAAACCAGAAACCCTTGTTTCTGAATGTGCATAAATGCTCAGTTCACTGTATCCAGATATGAAGGTATAGAGGGAGGAAGATAAAGCAGTTCATTATTCATCACTTAAGGCAGTCATAAAAAGGGACACATTTTCATTAACAGTGGTTTGAATCGTTAGAAAACCTAAACTACTCAATTCATATTCAGTGCTTGCTCTACTCTACTGTACTAAGTGAATACTGGATTGGAGTGGGTGGTTGCTGTTAAATAAGATTCCAATTGAGAGTTTATTTTTCTGTGAATTCAAACCAAGAGCTCAAAAACTTCAGAGGTAGTTAATTTTGATCAATCTTTTTTTGTAGTATAAAGTTTGAAATTCAGCCCAAAGATTTCAGATGTTTTAATAATCCATCTTATCTAACAGTAACTTCAAAGCTGTCACTTCTTCCCCGCTCACTTTTTCCCAGATGGTGTTGCCTAACATATTGCTTTCCATCCACTCCATTCCTTGTACCTTCATTTTCACGTCTTCCCCCATCCCCACACTCTTTATTTTAATGTCTTCTCATTCAAGTCCCTTTGCAATCTACTCTGTAGTCCTTGAGCTTTGAGATGCTTCATTTCCTTTTTCCCCCTCTTTATGAATATATTTTTTCTTTATTTTATTCCAGAAAAAAAATATTTTGGAGAGTAAAGGTAGATAGAGAGGAAGCACCAATATTTTATTTCTTTTCTAGTCTTGGTTATTTATCTATCTATCTATCTGTCTATCTATGTATCTAGCTATCTATCTATTATAAATTTCTAACTCTCCTGGTAATAAATTTTTATCTCCATTTCTTGTATAGACCATTATTCTCTTTTTTGTTCTTGGAATTTATGTTATTTATCTTTACAATTTCTCCAACAATCCCTTCTACCTCTTATCATGCTTTTTTCCTACTCTTAAAACCATCCTATCATTTTAATCCATTTTGCAATCTGTAACTTCAAGCTATAATGGTTTACCAATCAAGAGTTTTATGTCTCCTTTGCTGACATGTTCAATCTAGGCAAACTGGTTTGGTTAAAATGAAAACTAATTTAAAAATAAGAAAACAAAGACGATCTTTCTAGTAATTTTTAATAGTATGTTTTTGTCAGTATAAGTTTTGACTGAACCCTTTTTTTAAGGAAAATGATGATAAAGATTCCTGGAGATATTATCTTAGTCAACTTTTATGGTGGGGGGCTAATATATTATTCACCTTGCATCATCATCATTCACAATCCCTTATAGATAACAGTGGGTAGGATAGAACAGGAGGAGTCAGTATGCTATTTTATTTTCCTATGGCTTTCCTCCTTTTGCTTTTCCTTTCTTAATGGGGTTCTTACTCATTAATAAAGCTAATAATACCACTAATAATAACCATCCTTTCAAAATATGACATCCTATAGGTCATTTGTCCTAGGTCAGCTCACCCCTCCCCCACAGTTAGATAATATCTACCATTAGATTTCAAAGCCTCACCTGGATGGTCTCCAAGCCACGTAGATCAAGGGTTGAAAGATCGACATGTAGGGCAGTTTCCTCAATCACATGTTCCTCTCTAAGGCTTACAAATAGGCTCAGTGGAGGGATGCTGCAAGCAACAATCTGGTTGGAGGGAGGTACTCATTTAACGTAGCAACTCATATTCCCCTGAACTCCTGCAGTTATCACAAAACTTTAGTGAAATACCCATGGCTCCTCATCATAGAATGGTTGCCATTTTATTCCCTTTAAGATGATTTTACAATCCCCAAAGCAAGAAAATAAAATGAATGTGTTTGAAGTCTTGATTACTGTGACAAAAATAAGAAGAGGAAAAGCAAAAATTAAAGTTGTTGCTTTAATCAAAAGTCAATCTCACACTGTTGGCAGTGAAATAAGTGTTACTATCCAGTCATTAGGCACCACAGAAAAAGTTCAAGTGCCACAACAACAATAGTCTCAGAGAGGTTTGGGAAATACAAGTCACCCAATCACCCAGTGACATTTCCCAGGATTCACATTAAATAGACAAGAGGAATGGAATTATGCTATTCTTATTAAGCCACTCAACTAGAAAATGACAAAATAAAAGATAAGCCAGCAAAGGATCCCCACAACTCCCCTCAATACCCTCTTTGCATCCCTATTAAGTAGAGGAAATTAGATAAAATGAACAAAATGCTGCAGCTGGCAGCAGGCCACTGAAGAAGGAAACTTGCTAACTACAGCAAAAAATCAATGCTATTAAACAGGAGGTTGCAGAAGAATGGGGATTTAACCAAACAGTAAATAAAGAAGCTCCTAAAGCTGATTAATTAGAAGATGGAGCTACTGCTTGGAATGATGAAAGAAAAGAGCAAGTAGTTCCTGTGAAAGAAAGAATATATAAATGTTTGACATAATGGAAAACCATATTAATCTTACCATGAACTTATTTAGGGATACTAAAGCTCTATTGGAAACAATTCGTGTGATACAAACCTCCGAAAGTCACATATGATAAAATTTGTCAAGTATTAGAAGTATTCCAAGGCCAGGTATGGTGGCTCATGCCTCTAATCTCAGCACTTTGGGAGCCCAAGGAGGGAGGATTGTTTGAGGCCAGGAGTTCGAGACCAGCCTGGGAAACATACTGAGACCCTGTTTCTACTAAAAAAAAAAAAAAAAAAAAAGCAACACTTTTTTTTTAAAGAAGAGAATTCCAAACAAACCACAATGAATCTATTTTAAACTCTAGTTATTCTCTGTTTAAGTACTTATTTAAAGGTTGTGTTCAGAAAGCTGAAAGTACAGGCTAGCCTAAAGCCTACAAACAGAATGTTGTGTCCCATATTAATAGAGATTATGGATATCACAGCACTATCCACAAGTGTTAATAAATAACCTTAAATAATTTTTGAGACAGGGTCTTGGTCTGTTGCCTGGGTTGGAGTGCAGTGGTGTGGTTATGGCTCACTGCAGCCTTGACCTCCCAGGCATAAGTGATTCTCTCACCTCAGCCTCCCAAGTAGCTTGGACCACAGGCACATGCCACCATGCCTGGCTGGTTTCTTTATTTTTTTGTAGAGATGGGGTCTGGCTGGTCTCAAACTCCTGGGCTCAAGCCATCCTCCTGCTTCAGCCTCCCAAAGTGCTGAGATTAAAGGTATGGGTCACCACACCCAGTATAACATATTTATATCTTATACTTTCATATGTTGAAAAGTTGTTGTGGTTATTATTATTTTTGATTGGTTCAAATTTAGTTTTCCAGAGTACTGCCTGCCTACCACTGATGTTTATTCAAGGCCCAAGGACTCTTTAGACAGCGGGTGATGAATCCTGCCAGAACTGGGTCCTTCCCTTCAGGGCTGCGGATTCCCTTCTGACCCAGGGTAGGTCTAGAAATGTTGTCCAGGAGTTAGGGCCTGTCATGCGGGCTTCAGGACTCTGCTTGATGTTTTATTATATTGTGGCGAAGCTGGTATCCAAGTTGTAAGAAAGACAAAGTCCTCTTTACTCCTCCCTCTCCTGTCATCAAGGGAAAGGAGTCTCTCCCAGAGCTGTGAGCTAGGCTGCCTGGGGTGGGCGGATGGGTGACACAAGTACTCCTTTGGCCACTCCAGCTGGTGTCTCACTAGGTCCTGTGTACCCCAAGTCCACTGGCTCTGAGCCAAGCACAGCACCAGGACTTGCCAGGGAATTGTAGTCTTTGTGACTTAGGCTGCCTTTCAAATCTATTTAGGACCCCACTACTCTTTAGCTAGTGTTGGTGAGGCTAGCTGGAACCCAACTGCTGGGACAGATGACTCCCCTCCGGCTATCACTGTTCTAAATGCTCCCTCCGTGGACACCAGCTGAATCCTGCCCTGTGTTGCTTTCCGCTGGACAGGGCAGCACTGAGTTCCAATGAGAAGTCCCACAAGTACATAGATTCTCTCTCTGCACCACGGAGCTGGCCGCTGCTGGAGGATGAGGGAGGGGTGCACATCAGCAATTCAAGACTGTCTTTTCTGCCCTCTTCAGTGCCTCTTTCCTTGATACAATGTTAAAACCAGGTACTGTGATCACTCACCTGATTTTTGGTTCTCATGAAGGTGCTTTCTCGTGTGGATAGTTTTTTGATTTGGTATTCCTGTGGGGGTAGAAAGGGAGGATGATCGCTGGTGGGGTCTATTGGCCATCTTGCTCTGCCTCCTGTCTCTATAAGAGTCTTGAATAGACTGTTTCTTTCAAGTTAATGTCCACAACTCCTGAATGGTCTCAGATATAACTGATTCCTGGAAGCAGGTTCCCTCGGGTCTGAACAAAGGTTAATTGAGAACTGGAACACAGGTTCTAGTTACCCTGATGTGAAAAGCCCCAGGGCAAGGCAAGCAGCCCCATGCAGAGCACACCGGCCTGCACTGCCCTGCTCTTATAGGTTGGTGCAATAATATTTGTGGTTTTTGCCGTTAAAAGTATGGCAAAATCCGCAATTACTTTTGCACCAACCTAACACATAATTCTTTTAAATAAAAATTGGGATTTCACAGAAGCTCCAGCCTCAAAGGGCAGGAGCCAAGCTAGGAATAAAGGGAAAACAAGCCATCTGTTTAAAAGAGTATTCACATGGAAATTCCAATAAGGATTTCTAGAAGACTCAAAATAAAAGCTATCCTGATTACAACTGTTCCAAGTTGAGTATTGGGAGGACATACACTTGATTGTAAGATTTTGGAATTTAGGGCAAGAATTTGGGAAACAGCAAAATAGTATAGTGCTGAAACAATGTGCTTTAAGCAAAATAAAAAGTTGTTTAACAATTATTCAAACATTACCTACTAGAGAATGTGAACAAGAATTTACTATCCAAACCCACTAGCCATCTAAAAATGCTGAGCTCTGAATTGCTGTATAATTTGTAATACAAGGTGCTCATGCCAATACCCAGAGTTACTGCAAAACATTTCTTGGTAATATTGTAAAAACCAGCAGCAGGCAGCACTGCTTCAAATTTCACCATGTGTACACTTACCATCTACCAAACAATTCTAGAGAATACCCCCTCAAACTGTGACAAGACTAACATTATGAATGATAAACAAAGGACATTTTAAAGTAGCCAAAATAAGCACTTGCCTATGTGCTATGATTTAAGAGGCATTGGGAAAGGCACATGCCTCAAACTACATCCTTCATTAATGGTTGAAATCTCATCTTACCAATTTCTTAATTTAAAGATTTCAAAGCTGGTATGTTTCCACACTTCTCTTAGCCCTAAATTAAGATGTAATTGTTGCCGAGGAGGGCCAAGGGCTGATCTTTTTGCAGTCATTAGTTATTAATATGTAGTACTTTATCAGATATACTCACAAATATGACCACTAGTTGAGAGAACTTCATTCTATGTTGGAAAGTGCCCCTAGGGCAAGATTACAGCTGGAAATGATATTAAAATGAAAAAGAGAAGGAAAACTTTGCTTACTTCATTTGTCATTTTGCCAAAAGTTGGTCCTGCTTATAGATATGGACAACAGATAAAGCAAAATTCTTGTAAATGCAGAATAATAGTAGAATTAAGGACATGGTGTATGAGTTAACATTGTAATCAAAAAAAAAGAACACTTACTCCATAGAAGATAATGTAGAAATGGTACTTGGTGAAAAGATAGAGATTTGAGTGGAGAGGAGAAATATTTGAAGTGTCTCATTTATACAAACATCTACTTCTCAATGTCAATGTAAGCACTACTTAGAGGAAACATGACGAAGATGAGGTTGGAGTTTGGGGCTTAACCCTTTTCCCGTTTACCCCGAGAATATGCGCTGGCAGCGCTTGAGGCTGGATCGTTTACCCTGAGATAACTTTGTCACAAAATACCTCACTTTTATTGTTGTTTTCGCATCACTCTAGTATATGGACTTTGGAAACAAAGGACATCATTCTATTTATAGCATTCCGTTTTTAGTGGTGATATTTCCATTTACAAAATATAGTAATTCACCGTCACTGAAAATGTCAAATCCTAGAAAATGTAGCATTCCTAACACATGATGTTAACATCTTTCTCAAATATTTGTTGGCCAAATATTCATTTAATTAATCTGATTCTTCTGAAATGGATGATTCTGATGATTCAGACAATGCTGATATTAGTTCTGTTTAGAAATAACTCCAAGAAAAGGTTTTATATTTTATTTTCACATTGAAAATTAGTCAGATTTGCTTCAGCCTCAAAGAGGGTGTTTATGTAAAATTAAATGAGCACTGGCACTGAGCTGCACTTGCTTTTTATAAACAGGAAAAGGATACTAGAAATTGTTTGGAAATGTGATAGAGGTTTACAAAGAATCTCAACTTCCTTTGGTGACCCTTGACTGCCTATATATAGGAATGGAGAAAACATACAAGAAAGATCAGACTACTCATGACAAAGTATAATATGTTTCACCTGAAAGCTGTAATTGAACCAATGGCTTTCACATGAAGGCAGAAAAGAGCTAATATTGAGAATTTAATTGCCCCCAAATTGTCACTCTTGAAGTAAACCTTTTAAAGAAAGTATGCTTATAATCTGTGTGAGGATGTTAAGAAAATGATTAGTTCAACACCACTAAAACAAAGAGCAGGATATGATGAATTCATTCCTTGATTACACTATAACAACCTAATAGCAAAATCAGCCTTGAAAACTGAGTTTCACTTTTCTGAATTATATCGACTTAGCCAAAATTTTAAATGTAAAACAACATCAAATTATCTTAAGGCTAAAAACAGATAGATTGCTAAGTGACACTGAAGGATTTGGTGAGTTAGAATAGTGATAGTCATTAAAAATTACACTAAGACCAAATTATTTTGACATTCATGAAAAATATCATATACCTTTTAGAAAAACTAAAGGATTCCATTTTACTTTCAAAAAGTAAAATAATTGAGGCTCATATTTAACTTAAATATACATGTGAAAATTTCTAAATTATATTTGGCCAAAATAAGGGTAATGGTCCTAGTATTCATCATCAAATTAAGAGAGAATGACACATGAGAAACACAGGGTTGATTTAAAACAAGAGGCAAGACCTCACCATATTTGGTTCGCCAGCAATTAGCTTTCAAACAAAGCTGATAAAAGAATTCTATGACTGTGTCTGATCATCACTATATGATTCACTGAGAAGAAACTATAACAACAAACCAATAAAATTTGGTCAAGGGAAAAAGGATTTTGCCATTAAGCACAATCTCTAACACAGTGAAATAATCAGATGTAGCTATGTCACTTAGTATCTAAACTTTATATAGTACTTTCACAGTCTGCAAAGCACTTTCACAAACATCATCTCTGTTCATTGGTTTAAGATTGGTTTCCCACAGATTAAGCAATGTACACAAGGTCACAGCAACAGAGCTAGAACATAAAACCTGACCTTCAGATTCCAAGTTCCTCTCACTCTGCTATTTTATAGGTGTCTCTTAATAGATACATTTTAAAAAACTTTTATAAAACAAATAATTAAGTATTTAGCTTTGGCAAAAGGATGGATACATTTCTAGACCTCACCTTGGTAACTAGATTCACAAATCCTGGTAACAAATCATTGTTGTTACTGACAATCTAAAATGTGGCAATTATAGATAAGTTTTCATCTTATTAGGGTATTTCTAGTCCAAAAACAAATCACTGTAATAATACTGGGCAACTGATTTTATGTTATGAAAAACTTACACCAGATTAATCTGAGGGTTTTTGATTATGTGTCGATCACCATAACGACAATAACATAAATCAAAGAACACCAATTTTCCCATTCTAGTTAAACAGAGAGCAATACTGCACCCTCTTATGAGATAGCTTCTTCTTGGGTACTTCTATTTGGATCCAGGTAAAGGTAAATTCTTCCATTTTCATCACTGATAATTCAAGAGGAGTAGGGGCTCCAATAACAAGTCTGCCCTTTACTAATTTGTGACCGTAGATGAGTGACTTCATATCTGTAAGCTTTACTTCTCTCAGTTGTGAAATGGGGATTGTAGTGGGGATGAATGGCTATAGGTTATATGAAAACACCTTGCATGTATAAAATTAATTCTTTTACTAGTGTGTGGATCAGAAAAGAGACACCATCTTGACTTTAAACAAGAGATAAGAGAGGGTAGAACTAAGACATTTCCTCTCATTGTGAGCATAGCAGAATTGAATATAGTTGGTCTTAAAATAACATGAAGTATTGGTCCTCTTATACTTGGGCCTCTGCTGCTAAGAACCCATGCAGAAACCATGAGGCAGCGAGTAGGAAAATGTATCAATCAGAACAAATTTATGTACTTGCCTTTCATTAGGTTTTTTTGTTCTGTTTTGTTTTGTTTAATGTTTTCCAAAACCAGCCACACAAGCTAGATCTGTTCTTATAATATTTTGAGGCCCAAAATTTGGAATAAATTAGCTTCACTCACTAGTTGTTCAAGGTTTTTTTTTTTTACTATTATATGAATCTTTCTAATTCCTTCTCTATATACACAGGAAAATGTCTAAAAAGCAACAAATTCCTATTTCCAACATGTGTAGAAGTTTCATAAAATCTCAGTAATGAAACCAAGATCCCATCTTACTACTATGAAGTTATTTGTACTCTTCAAGGCCTAAAACTTCTTAACAAACACGACACTTGTAGAAATTTGCTCATCAATGAGAACACATGGACACAGGGAGGGGAACATCACACACCGGGGCCTGTCGGGGGTGGGGGGCTGTGCGAAAGATAGCATTAGGAGAAATACGTAATGTAAATGACGAGTTGATGGGTGCAGCAAACTAACATGGCACATGTATAACTATGTAACAAACCTGTACATTGTGCACATGTACCCCAGAACTTAAAATATATAAAAAAAAGAAATTTGTTCATACATCTTTGTAAAAAAGCTAAGCTAATTCTATGTTCAAGTACATTTGCCCGAGTTAAAGTTCAGGCAACCTGTTAAAATAAAAAACTTCAATAGAAAGTATGGAATGATAATAACTATACAGACCATCACAACTCCAGAGAATACCTTACTCAACTGGCAATACAAAGCAGTAGAACAAAGGCAAATCTTAATTCCCACAAATTAGAAGCCCGTGAAAGAAGTGCCTTTGGGATTTTATCAGCTTGAAATGACCAAAGGAACATATCCTTTTCAACAGTTAAGTATTGCTTGGAAATTTGCTACGGTAACTGCTCTGAGATGATTCACAAGTAACCTATATTAAGTAGACCACACAGTATGTTATAATTTCTGCACATATTAAGTGACCATCAAGGGAAAATGAATGTAGATAGAATACATCATCTAATCACATGGGTGGGCACACTCATGGATTATACCCAAGTTCACTAACGATTTTTAAGATATCTGATTGATGTGGCAGCTTAGAAAGCAATTGTATCCTTGTAGCTTCAAGTTGCAGAAATCAATTTTGCACTGATTTAACAGATCGCTTTGGCATGAGAAAAACAGAGCAATCAATGGTGATATCAGCAGCCTTTTTGTCATGCTGACCTAAAGGAGTTGGCTATAATCAGTCTGAAGCAAAAAAAAATAATAATAATAAAATAAAATAAAAAAGCATCCACTGCTGCCAATATATTAGCATTAGGTACTCAGCTCAGGTGTTTTGGTGTTGAAATAATCTGATAAAAACAAAAGGAAGAAGCTTCAGGCCTTGAAACACACAGCTAGAAATAAAGACTGTATATATTAAATATGTTAGTGAATTGGTTCTTAAAATGAAAATGAGAGATTTATAGAATGAACATGGGTTTATATTCTAAATAACATATGAAAATGAACTGGAATTGTTAAGAGAAACTCAAAGGGAAATGTTAGAGCTTGTGGCCAGAGAGGTGGAGGGATAATGTTCAATAAAGAATATTTCTGTAATAGATATTTGGAAGAATTGTGAATGCAAGGGAGGCTCACATGCTCCCTTAAACTACAGGTGGGAAAGAAAATGGGAGAAGGAGAAAATTATTTTTATATTAAGTGCTTGGTAGAATTCACCAAGTGTACTTGTAATATAAATGGGAAAGAATATAAGAATTACTATCTATTCCTTTAATACATTTTTTACATTAAGACCACTTGATATACACTATTTCTGAAAGTCTTTGAACACACTGACAACAAAAGTTCATAGTTATACAGGAATGAACCTGTTATATTTTATTTTCATTATTTTTCTTCCCAAAATGCAGCTTCATCACATTGCTCTGAATTTATAGAGTTTTTCTTCTGAGACTCCTGTCATGTCAGATGTAGAATCATATTTCTACCATCCCTATGAAGTAGCTAGAGGAAAGTGGGGAAGGATAGGAAGGAAGGAAAACCCAATTATTTCTGTATAAACACAGCAAGTTTATATAATTTGTAATAATTCAGCCAGGTAATCATAAGTTAGTAAGAAAGAATAGCCAAGAATTCAACTCTGACTCTCCAGATAAAGACAAAGAATGAGAGCAAATGCTCCCTATGGGCATGTATTAGTAGAGAGAAGTAGCATTTCATCCATAATACACTATTTTCTTTATAAAATGTTTTTTTAGATAAAGTGAGATTTGCAGAGTAGCTAACAACAATAAGTATTTGAGGATGAATTTAGAAAACATTGCTTTTTGTCGACTGCTAGTCTAACCTTTCTTGATTGTATAAATTGAGAAGGGTTATGTGAGTTTCAAACCCCAAGGCCATAACCCTCTCAGTTCTAGACAGAAAATCAAATCCCAATATAATTTCATCCATTTAGACACATTTGCATGCCTACCATATGCAAGGCACCATGGACGAAGAGATAAAAGAAACTGCCCATGCCTGCTTGTTTTTAAGTAGCCCATACTATAATAGAAGGGATATCACATAATGGATAGGTTAAACTGGGTCAAGAGACAGGAGGCAGTTAGAAGGCTGTTACAATATTGCAGTAACCCATGTTTAAAAAAAAACTAATTAAAACATGAACTAGTGTGGTGGCAATAGAATTTGAAAGGAAGAGGCACATATAAAAGATGTTTCAGAAATAGACTTGGCAACTAATTTTATGTGATATATGAGAGAGGAGGAGGAAAAGATGACTCCCAAGTTCCTAGTTTGGGTGACTAAGAGAATGATCAAATCATTGATAGAAATAGCTAGGTCAAGGGGAGGAACAGATTCATAGGGGAAACAAAGGCATTTGATTTTAAGCATGATGAATTTCTAACAAAAGTTCTCTAATCTTGTTTCTATCATCCTCAAACCAGTGATCTCTATATTTTGTGTACCCCATCAATACATGTTGGGTATGCACCCTCCAAATTTGTAGGTCAATTATATTAATGTATCTATCTATCTATCTGCAAAATTAGAAAATGTAAAAAACAAGTTAAAACTAACAACAGTTTTATACTGTTTTTATATCCACACTCCAATAGCTTGTTTTGCATAGTTCATTTGGATCACTAAACAATTTAGCTATACCTTGGCTTTTCAACTTGCAACACAGAAAAACAATATTGATTTGCCTAACCCAATTTAGTGACAAGAAATTCAGATTATAGGAAAAAGCATAGTTGCATTTCTAAGGTAAAATATATATATATATGTCCATCATTAATAATGCTCGATCTTTCAAGCTATCGCATCAATTCAAAAGTCAGGGTGATTTCTATAAACTTGATTGGGTTCACATGGACATCTTTTACTAATAAAACCTTACAAAATAGCAAGCTAAGACTCCCCACAAAAGACAGGCTCCAAAATAGAACAGCAGGAAAGTGAGTCCCTGTTGAGCAATTTCTCTTGGCTTTTATATTTTGTGAAGGAAGCATTTGAGAGTGAGGCATATTCCCTTTTAACCTTCACAACAACTTCATGAGGTATTAACCATCTGAAAAAAAACATGCAAAAACCTAGAAACCAAGGCTCAAAAGAATTAAATTATTTGCCCAAGGTCACTCAGCTAGTATGTGCTAGAACTCAGATTTGAGCCCAGGTCTTGACCTAGAGTTATATTCTTTTAGCTAGACCACAGCTGCCTTAAATCCTTTTGACTCCTTTTGTTTTTTAAGACTCTTTCAGTTATTCTGTCAATGCACATTCTTTAAATTTCTGCCTGGTCTCTAACCCAAACTTCAGAAAAGAACGAAACAAGATGATTCTAAAGGGATAGGAAAAAAGACAGACTAATATAATTATTGTTCATCTCATTTTCTTTCCTAACAGACTAAGGTTATATTCTCTCAATTTTCCAGCTTTTATTTCTGTCTATCATACTGACTTCTGGGTCAGTTCTGTGTTAAAAATGGCTGCTTCTGAAACATGAGCTCTGTCTGTTGGAATTTGAGTTCCACTTCTGCGTATGGTCATGAAAGTACAACTACTCTGAAGTCTGAGGACATGTAATTACTCCTGGTTAAATTCAAATAGCTTAAACTGGCAACACAGAGACTATTTCATCTTCAATACACTAGCATGGGTTCACAGACAACAAGTCAGGCCAAACTAACTTCATTTCCTTTTTTAATAGCATGAATAGCCTGAAAGATCAGATGAATGCCTCATCACTAGTATATCTGAATTGAACAAAATGTAATCTCCTTGTTGGTAGGATAGACAAAATGTGGCTTCAGGGAATAGGAGAATTTATAGTTAGGTGACTAACCATTCTCACCAAATATATTAATTAATTCTGTATTGACAACGGTGGAAAATTATAAGCCTCTCCTATTTTATTCACATTGTTATTAGAGTCTCAAATAAAAATAGAAAAATAATCATTTTTAAATTGGCAGATGACAAAACTGCAGGGGAGAGAAACTTTGTCTGATGCCAATCTGAAAAGATGGGTAAAATCTAGCCACATGAATTCTAAGAAGCAATTAATACAAAATGTCTGAATTTAGTTTAAAAAATTAACTATAGAAAGATACCTTTCTTAGCAACAGTATGTATAAAGATATCACTGGAGCTTTTTTGTTGAACATGAGCACAGAGCGCCAGTAGTGAAAGGTAGCTGCTGAAAAGCAAAACCCAAAAATAGAAAACACCACCACCAAAAAGCAAAGCCAATGAAATTTTAAAACCAGGATAATGCCATTTAAAACACTACAGTGTCTGGATCAAATTGTTATACATTTTTCTTAATGAAACATACCATATTCAGTGTGCAAATATCTGGAAGTATGGGCACATTTGAAGAAGGACATTGACAAACTGATATGTGAAGGAAGGCAGAAAACCATCCTTTTGCAAGAGACTGTTGGGTTATATAGGACCCAGTAGCAACATTCAAAATTTTAAGGTCTGTGAAATGAAGATTGGGTTCATTCTCATTTTGATAAGGCATGTATTTAAATCATCAATTAATAGCAGTGTTTTCATTAACTAAACTATGAAGCACATGATGGATAAAGTAATATAATCAGTTTCCCTGGAGTGTAAGTCACTACCAGACTATACGTGATACACTTTTTAGGAAATTTCACTTAATCTTTCAGGTACTATGATAATATGCTCTCATTTAGTTTTACACAATAGTGACCTATCTCAGGAGCTAGAGAAAGTCCAAGTTAGGGCAACTGCCAAATTGCTTTCTACAGTCAGGCAGTTGCTTGATTCTGGAGAGAATCTGAGCTATTCCTGCAGTTGTGGGTAAATTGAAGGGCCACATTAAAACTGTAAAAGGGAAGAGTGGGTAGACACTCTGTTCAGGTATGTCTGTTCTCAGTAAGTTGCCTAAAGGCTGGGTAATCTCTAGTAGGTTGAAGACCTGAGAGAAATCACACTGTGTTCTCTCTCTCTCAACATTTGGTTTATAGGGAATAACGTGGAAAGTCTGAGAGTAGAAGAATCACTTAGAGGTCAGCTTGATGGTACATGTATGAAATAGAGAAAAGACAAGGCCACCTCTGGCTGTTTTGCTTTGGAACAGAGGATAGGCCTGGCTGCAGAAGAAGAATGGGATGTTTATGTGTTTGCATATATACATATGTGTGTGTTTGGATATATATATATATATATATATTTTCTAGGAACAGCTCTGTCTATTGACTTGGAGAGAGAAAGTGCCCATTTTACAGCTCACTTTAACAACCAGAGCAGAGCTTAAAGATAATTATTTGAAGAGAGATTATTGGCTCAATCTGAGTCTCTGAGTTTCTGAGTGCCAAACCTGGTGTCCCCTAGAAATTGCAGCCATGCTTCAAATGACTGGCTGTGATCAGAAACCAGCCTAGTGGCCCTCACAAGGGTGTGAGACTTCTGTTCACTGCCAAAACTCTGCAAGAAGAAAACTGTGTGAGTTTAGCAAGGTTATCAGTTCGAACAGCAGAAATGGGCATTTTCTTATTTGAGAAACCAATAACTAGCAGCTATCTGTTAGGAAAGAAAGGATAGATTTGTTGCTAAAGAAAGCAAAGTTGAATTCTGGAAAGCTAATCAAGTGTACTGAGACAAAGTAGCCCAAGTCCCCAGGAATAACCAGTGACAAATTAGTTTTTCATTCTGCTGCTTTCATGCCTGTTTTAAGAATATTCTTGAAAAACTGCTCACCACAGAGAAGCTGGCCCTTCATCTTCATCCAGAGGCAGTCAGCCTGCTGCAGTGGGAGGGCACAGGACCAGAAATCAGGAGCCCTGCTTTTTAGTTACACCTCTGCCACCGACTTATTTTGTGACGTTGCATAAATTCCTTTACCTCAAACACCACATCTAACTACCTCACAAATACGCTGCAAGAACTCAGTGAAATAATGAATGTAAAAGCACTTTGCAAAGCATGGAGCACTGTAGAAGTATAAGGGATTATTATCCAAGTAGGTTTCATGCCAACCTTTCTGGTATCACCCTCAAGACTTCTTCAGCTTTGGCACAAAGTTCTCAATTCTCTGCTTGCTCCCTCCAAGTCCTACCTGGCTTGGGAACAGAAGTTTTCACCCTCCCTTCTTTTGTCAGCTTTCTCCGTAATGGGGCCTGCTGAATGTAATTATTGTTTATCAGTTCTAATTTCCCCTAGAGAAACCATCTTCCTCAGGAAAAGACTCCACCTTTCTATAAACACCAAGTCTTCAGGCACAACATACTCATGTGGCAGGTGTGATGCATGGGGGAAAGGAAAAGGAAGCAATATACAGCTCCAGGAAAGAAAGCTGTGATTTCAGTGAGACTTTCTTGATGAGCTTTCAGTGCCCAGAATACACACACACACACACACTCACTCACCCACATTCTCTTGATGAAAGACTCAGGCCAGTCTATATACCACAGCAATCAGAAGTCTTACCTGATACCTGCTATTTGCTCCTGAGCCTATGGTGGCCACTCTCTCTTCTCTCTACACCTGTGAAGGTTTTAATTCAGTGCTGTCCATTTATACCCTTCTAAGAGTGGCAGGACTCCAGGAATCTCTGTCCTCACCAATCATAAGTCAGAACTCCCAAATTCCTGGCCATTTCTGATTTAACCCTGTCTAACATGTCAGCTTTCTAGCTGAGGGAAGGACTTAGCCTCAAAAATCAAGAAGCTGCTGGCTTGTGCCTACTGTCCAGACCCTGGACCTGCCTTCCCCAATTCCAATAGACAACTCTGTGTGTCAGTAAGGCAGAAAGAATACTCTGGAGAGTAAGTCTTACAGGCAACATGAGGAGAATGGAGAAGAAGAAATCAAGTCCTACAGAATGAGAAGCTCAAGTGTATAATGGATCCAAAGGGAAAAACTAAGGTCAAAGACCCAGGTGTCACAGTAAAACAGAGGGAACAGGATATGGACAGAGTTAAAATAAGCAGTGAGTTTAATTCAGGCTTGGCACAAGAGTACATACCGAAGCAGGGTCCTAACATGCAAGCAGAATTTGTTAACTTGACATCCTAACTGGCGTGGACAAAAGTGGCGTCTATAGATAAGACATGGGGAAAACTGAGGGTAAAAACTGAGCCTAAGAATAGTACCCTAAGTTCTGATACACCCAGATGAGCCTCCACAGTAGGAATATTTCATATGTCTGAAATTCTTAGACCAGGAGTTCCAATTTTCATCACCTCACCTGGTATGGAAAAACAAGAACCTTACAGAAGAGAGTAAGACTATACAGGGATCAAAACTGAAGTTAAAGCAATGTACAGGACTCTGGGATACTTTTCTGGATCTAACTAAATCTTTGGGCAAATGCTCTATCAGAATAGAATATAGGGTTTGCCTTTCTGATTTGAAGATTGGGATATCTCATTTCATATTCTGTCTTGGAGACATGGCTGTTAGGCAAAATAGTTCTCTCTTTGTCCCTTCATGCTCCTACTGCTTCTTGTTCATTTACCTTATTACTTACTCCAAGTTCAGGCTTATTTGTCCCAGAATATAACTCAGGACTTGGATTAGTATACCACAAAAGAGGTCTGCTGTTGTTAGTCTACTCCCCACCACATGTAATTGGCCAAAGGGGACAAGAATTGCAGGATAAAAAGGCATTAACTCTTGGCAGAACTTCCCATACTAAGCCAGTCCCTACTAGAGGTGTCTTGGGACTACATCCCATGTAGAACATAATTGTCATTCATAAAAACCACAATAAGCATCCCCGGTTGTCCATAGAAACAGGAACAGAAAGACATTTCACAGAGTAGGACCCAGGTGGTAGCAAGATACTGTGCCAAAGGCAAAAGGTATGAAATGGTGACCAGATGTTGCAATAGATTGTGTAAAGAGGATCACAGGAAAACAATTAAATCTTTTCTCAAGTAGCTCCATTTAAAATAATACCCACACACCACACAACTTAAATGCCCATCAACCAATGAGTGGATAAAGAAAATGTGGTATATATACAACATGGAATACTACTCAGCCATAGAATGCAATGAAATAATGGCATTTGCAGCAACTTGCATAGACTTGGAGACCATTATTCTAAGTGAAGTAACTCAGGAATGGAAAACCAAATATCATATGTTCTCAATTACGAGTGGGAGCCAAACTATGAGGATGCAAAGGCATAAGAATATATAATGGAATCTGGGGACTCAGGGGAAGGATGGGAGGGGGATAAGGGATAAAAGACTACATATTGGGTACAGTATACACTGCTCAGGTGATAGGTGCACCAAAATCTCAGAAGTCATCACTGAAGAACTTATCCATATAACCAAAAGCCCCCTGTTCCCCAAAAGCTGTTGAAATAAATTTAATAATAATAATACCCACATGAAGTTTTCCTTGTAGTAACTGGCACAGTGCCTACCTAGCACAGAGCCTGGCACATGGTAGGCAGTCAATAAATGGTGGTTGATTGAATGAATCACAAATTACACACTAAAACAGCCAGGCAAAACTTTTCAAGCTCTAATTATAGCTGTTAAAAGGATGTAAGTTGTAGTAACATTCCCTGTATATTGAATTAACTACTTCAGTAAATCAATTTTCTTAGCTCAAGTTTTATTTTTCCTGTCAGGATTTTAAGGCCTCAGCTTTGTACAACTATTTCCTTAGGTGTAATGGGGGAAATTATCTAAGGCCCACTAAGATTAGAGGGAGGTAGAGGAAATTGGAAGGCAACCAATGAAAGGTAGGAAGGAATCCAAGCGTGTTAGATTGGGAGAGAACTATCCCTCACCTCATTAATGTGACTGTAAAATTTGATCTTGCAAAAAGCAATAGCTAAAAAAATTAAAAATGAACATACTCATGTATTTATCCAGTCAACAATTATTTCTCTAAACCCCCTTGATTTGATTCAGCTTAAATTATAGAAAAATATAATATGGGCAGAAAAATTTTCAGTTTCCAGTCTACAGCATTCTAATTCTTTAATATGCCCTGCTAGATGAAGTAAAAGATTGCTGGGCAAAGGTACAGGCCTAAGTTAAGGCATAGCCTGGTTCTGGAGGCAAGCAGGGTCCAGAGATTTAGAGGCCTGAAGGTTGTCAAGAGGATCACAGATGTACAAGTCTAATTAGTTTTAATATGAGGGCAGCAGCTCTTTGTTTCTGCTTGATTTTAACCTACTGTCTGGGTGTGGTTGTACAGGTGTGGATCACAGTTAAAAGAAATTAAAAAGCTTATATGCACATTCTGCCATTTTCAGAGAGCCAGGGAGAGAGATGGTAGACTCACTCCTCTCTATTTTCATCTGGTCCCTGCTCTAAGTGTAAAATAATAGTCATTTAAAAGTCTCCTGCATGTTAGTATCAACTTTTGGGGTCTATCTTTTTGCTGAACCCATTCTTTTTATTTTCCCAAGTTTGCTGCTTTTTCCATGCCCCAGTTCCTCTTCCACTGGCTGTTTTACTGTGTTTCTCCCCTCTCTGCCCACCCTACCCCCACCCAATTTATTGCCCTTTTTTTGGCTCCCTGAAATGTGTCGGACTTGCAGAGGTATGGACAATTTCTTTAAAGCCATTTTAAACCTGGATCTTTCAGTGTCCTTGGCTCATAGCTCATTTGTAATCACATAAATACCAATTTGACAGGAAAAACTAAGCAGAAAGAAAATCAAATCCAAATGTCGAGAAAAATTTTCCTGCTCATCTTATATTTTTCTAGTTTCTTAATGGTGTTTTTCTTTATTCTAATTGTGGACTATGGAGACGTGAAGGACATTTCTTCTTCTGCATTTTATGTACTGTGTGGCAAGATAGGTCTATTCAGAATGTTCTAAATAACAATATCAAACATAAAATACTATAATTCATTTGTGTTGTGGAGGGCTTATATATTTCTTAAATAAGCACTTCATGAAGAAGCAGTCTAGTGCAGAAGAAAGATTACTGAACTAGGAGTTGAGAAATACATTTGAGTCCCAAATATTTCATATAATTCTGATGTAACTTTAGACAAGTTACTCTCCTTTCCCAGTAAAACAACAACAACAATAGTAAATGTGTATTATACATTTACTATGAACCAAGCAATTGAGGAGTACTTTATATCACATATAACCCTTAAAACATCCCTACATGGTAGAAACTATTATAATCAACACTTTATAGATTAGGTGACTGCAGCTCAGAAGGGGTAAAAAAAAAATGCCCAATATTGTACATAGCCAAAAGGGGCTATACAGGCTTCAGAACTGAAGTCCAAGCAGTTAGTAAGAGTCAAGACTGGTACTCAACCTCAGGTCTGTCTGACTCCAGAGATCACACTTTTAACCAATATGAAGTGCTGTTGCTTTACCACATTCTATTGATCCTTAGTTCCCACATCTATAAAAATGAAGATGTTCTATTGATCTCCAAAGTACCTTTTAGCTCTAACAGATTGAGTCTAGTGTCAAAGGAATATTGAGATCTCCAGTAGTAGCTGAAATGGCAAATAAGAGCCAAAAACCAGGCATCAATTGTTCCCCTCACATCACATGGAAAGAGATCTATCATGCCATTGCTTTTTCTTAATGATATTGGGAAGAAGCAGGAGTGTGTAGCATCAATAAGGTTTTGAGTTACTAAGTCAATGGGAGAGAAAAGCGTAGCATTTCTGTCAGGAAACTAAAGATCTGAGAGAAATCTCCAGCTTCTCGGTTCAGGAATTATTAGGAAAAAATAATTGTTCTCTTTGAAGAGTGGAGAAGACAAGCCCTGCACAAATCGGCAACCAATAACAATATAGAAAAAAACCTCTGAATCTCCTGAGAAGAATTCAACAAGGCTTGACTTTCAAGTAAAGAAAACCTTGGTATATTAATTTCAGTGTCATAAATAATGAATTACCTCCCAGGAGTAACATTCCAGAAGGGAAATTCATTCTTTTGGTTAACATACCAAAAAGACATGGAACACTGGTGAAGCAAGATTTATTTTGTGTAAATATATAATAATCACAATTTATAACATTTACAACTTTATCAGAATATGTGATATTCATACTCTATTATGTAATCATAATCTCCCCAGTTTATTCTTGAGGCTATGATTAAATGGGATAAATATTCACAACCGATAGTTTTTCTACAATGTCTCCATTTTTTTTTTAGTCATTCATCGTTCACAGTTATTTATTTATCATTTATTTTTTTTTAAGACAGAGTCTCACTCTGTCTCCCAGGCTGGAATGCAGTGGCGCAATCTCGACTTACTGCAACTTCTGCCTCCCGGGTTCAAGCGATTCAGATGCCTCAGCCTCCCCAGTAGCTGGGACTATAGGCATATGCCACCATGCTCAGCTAATTTTTAAATATTTTCTTAGTAGAGACAGAGTTTCACCATGTTGCCCAGGCTGTTCTCAAACTCCTGAGCTCAAGTGATTCACCCGCCTAGGCCTCACAAAGTGCTGGGATTACAGGCGTGAGCCACCGCACCAGGCCCACAGTTTTTTAAAAAATTAAACACTTCATTATTCAGTAGTTTTTTTTTTTCTCCCCCAAAGAAGACTCATGGTTGTTATATATTCTGAGTTCTTTAATGCTTTAGAGTATCTGCCTGTTAATTTCATATTTGATCTAAAACTTGGCTAGTATTCTTGGATCACACTGTTTTTTAGAACATTATATTTTTCCATTGTCTTCTGACACCACATGTATCTTAGAAGAAGTTTCACGTGAGCCAGTTATTTTTCCACATGTACATGACTTGCCTTCTTTATCCTTAAAGTTTAAGGATGTAATCAGGATATGACTTAATTTCAATCTCTATCAAATTCACCTGAAACATAAAATATAGTCTTTATATTTGCATATTTAATTCTGTCATTAGTTCAAGGAATTTTCCTGCTGTTATACCTTCTAATAATTCCTTTATTCTATTTGTAGAATAGAGGTTATTCTCTATTAGCATTCTCCTTACTAGATCATCTTTGTTATCCGTCTTTATTATTTTCTCCTGAATCTAATTTGTCTTTATCTTCTGAATTTGCTGTGATTATCTCAGAATTTTTCTCTTTTATTAATTTGATTTTAAGCAATTCTGCTCAATTCCTTGCTATTTCTAGTTTATTCATTTTCAAATAGTGAGGTTTTTGTTGTTGTTGTTGTTCTCAATTTGTTTCCTTAGCTTTGTGCAAGTCACATACCTGTTTTCAGTTCATTTAGGTATATATCCAGGGGTAGAATTGCTGGGTCATATGTCACCAAAAATACCAAATACCACACCTGGAAAAGCTATCCTTCAAAAATGAAGCAGAAATTAAGACAATCCCAGATAAATGAAAGCAAGGGAATTTGTCTCTGGATATCTCCTACAAGAAATGCTAAGGAGAGTCCTTTAGGCTGAAATGAAAGGAAGCTATATGGTAACTCAAAGTCATACAAAAAATTAAAGATCTCTGGTAAAGGTAACTATGCAAGTAAATATAAAAGATAGTATTATTATATTTTGTTTTGTAACTCCTCTTTTTGTTTCTTATATAACATGAGAGACAAATGCATAAAGCAATAATCATAAATCTATGTTAATGGATACGTAAAAGATAAATATTAAATTTGTGTCAATAAAAACATAATGCACATGAGTAATATAAATCTCATAAAAATCAGGAAGTGGTGGAAGAGAGTATAGGAAGTATAAGAGTGCTATTTTCCTCATCTTTCAAGGCAGATAATCAATACATATTATGTAAAATTAAAGCATAAAGCTCAATAATTTCTGAATCCAAAATCTCATTATTTTTAATTCTCTTATATTGGCTGTTCATCAAACATTGTATGCATAGTCCCACCTCCCCAACTGATGGTGTGATTATGAGAGTTACCAATCCACAATCTGAAAAGCAAAGGAAGAATGTGTACTGGAAGACAGAGGTAAGATATGTGGAATTCTGAGTCAAGGTCAGCTATTGATTAGTCAAATTCCATTACTATATAATATTCCTAAAACTTGATACTTCACCAGGCCCTGGAAAGTAGGGACAAAAATAAAAAATCTGACTCATTAGATGTTTAAGTGCACTACAGCAATAAATAAAAGGGTTTTTAGTGGCACTACCTCCTATCAGGGAGGTGATTTGAGAAGATGTTATTGCATGAAAGGGAATACTGCTTTAAAAGAATTGCTGGCAGTAGAATGATTAAGAGGTAGTTACAAGGGAAACTCTAGGGCATGGGTGAAAACCAAAAGGTTGGGGGGTGCGGTAAACGTGAGCAAAGGCTCTAAGTACACAGACAAGGCATATCTTCACAGGGTAAAGTTCTTCCCATAGGGAGCTTCAAGAGCAGTGAACTATGCAACAATTCTGCCACTTTGCTAGCTATATGATTCTAGGCATGTCACTTCCTCTCTAGAGGTCTCAGTTTTCCTCACTCTAAGGATATTCTTCATACTTTTTATATTCCTCAGTCTGATACCCATGGGCCTACTTTTTCAGAGTCAGCTGAATCTAGACAAAGTTTTCCAAGTAGTGACTACTAGACATCCATTTCCAGGCAAAGTCCCTGGCAAGAGTATGATATTGGCAAAGCTTATCTCTGAAACCCTTCTACCTTTCTAGTTTAGTGGGCACTCCTCATCTTGCTGCTTGTTTCAATTCCTCCCTCAATCCTTCAACAGCTAATCTAAAGTCCTTCAAAGGTTAGTTGATAAAAGTTTAAAGGCTGATAGTGGGACAGTGGTCAGAGATTAGGGAAGTATTTATGGAGAAGACAGGATACCATTTGAAGTGGAAACATGGAAACATATGGGGCAAAGGGAATGGTTTAATTCGTTGAACACACAGGGTAGATTTCTGGGAGAACTGGCCTAGAAAGTTTAGAATGGGATGAAATTCTGGGGGCCTTATTCCCCAGGATTGAAGCATTTGGAATTAACTTGATTAGCAATGAAGAGCCTTTGAAGATTTTGTCCAGAGAGTGACATTAACAGTATAAAGCACAGTTCTCTGAAAAGCTCCAGTTAAAATGAAAACTACTTTCCCTGGGATAGTGATGCATTTGTTTGTTAGCATTTATTAACACCTTAGAGAGATACATTATCAAAAAACAAAGTGCCCTAAGGGACTAGGTCACAGGCACAGGACAGAGCAATATTGATTAGGTAGGAAAAGGGAGCAAACAAAGTTTAGAGAACAAGTTGCACCAGAATGTATATTACAAGGGGCTCCTAAACAGATGGAAAGCAGCAGGAGAGCAGCACTCAGTCTGAGGTGAGGACACATAGGTCAATGATAGTTGGGGTGTGAAGCTAGGTCTTGGGCCCAAGTATGGCAATCTGAAGATAGCTTCTGTCTCAGAACCTGTCTTTTCTGTTAGCTGGAAATCACACCATTAGAGATTAATTCTTTAGGATCTGGAAAGTATTTTGTTTTGTTTTGTTTTGTTTTTAAGATATCTTGAGACCTCTAAGAAACTCAAATATCCCTGGGAAACAAACATTTAATGCTATTGGACTCTAGTCTCATTTCTTCTCATAGCCTCCCTTTTTATATCTGTAAAATAAAGGCAAAACCTGTTTTGTTAAACTTAAAAGCTCGGGATAAGAGAGATCATCAGAGGGTCCGATGAGATAATAGGTGTTACAGCACATTATAGATGATAAAATGCTAGACCAGTGTAAATGAGGGTGACTATTTTATAGGTTTTCTTCCCTCCCCCACAGTACCTAGCAGAGAGTTGAGCATTCTGTTGTATACACTTACCAAAATTAGATCAAAATAAATAGGTGTAATTTAATATCTTTTCACAGAGATTATGTTGAGCTGAACATCTGTAACAACAAAACAGACAAAAAACCTTTCTGACGGAAAGGTTGATCATGATCAATCTAACTTAGATTCCAGAAGATATATGGAAGCTTGAGAGAGAGCAATTATTTACATTTACTTGTGTAGTCTCTGGAAGATTTATGGTTAGGCTGTTGAAAATCCAAATTTTGATTCAGATTATCACTATTTCCAATTAAATGCAGTTACAGAGTACTGCTCTATGCTGTTTTACTTTAAAGATGCGAGCCACTACAATTCGTTTATTGAAACAATTTCTTGCATTTATTTTTTTAAAAAAACTACTTTTAATTTTTATAGGTCAGTGTATAAGTTTATGGAGTACATAGGATATTTTGATACAGGCATGCAATGTGAAATAATCACATCATGGAAAAAGGGGTGTCCATCCCCTCAAGCATTTATCCTTTGTGTTAGAAAGAATCCAATTATACACTTTTAGTTAAAGTGTACAATTAAATTATTTTGACTATAGTCACCCTGTTTTTCTATCAAATACAAAGTCTTATTCATTTCTTCTAATTGTTATTTTTGTGTTGATTAACCATCTTCACTTCCACCCCCCCGCCCCCCCACCGCCAGAGTCCCCGCTGTCTATCCCAGCCTCTGGTAATCATCCTTCTACTCTCTATCTCCATGAGTTCAATTGTTTTGATTTTTAGATCCCACAAATAAGTGAGAACATATGATGTTTGTCTTTCTGTGCCTGGGTTATTTCATGTAACACAAGTACCTCCAGTCCCATCCATGTTGCTGCAAAAGATGGCATCTCATTCTTTTTTATGGCTGAATAGTACTCCATTGTGTATAAGTGCCACATTTTCTTTATCCATTCATCTGTTGATGGACACTTAGGTTGCTTCCAAATCTTGGCTACTGTGAATAGTGCTGAAATAAACATAGGAGGGCAGATATTTCTTCAATATACTGATTTCCTTTATTTTGCATATATACCCAGCAATGGGATTGCTGAACATATGATAGCTGAATTTTTAGTTTTTTTGAGGAACTCCCAAACTGTTTTTCACAGTGGTTTTATTACTTAACATTCCCATCAACAGTGTACAAGGGCTCCCTTTTTTTCACATCATCTCCTGTATTTATTACTGCTTATCTTTTGTATATAAGCCATTTTAATTGAGGTGAGAAGGTATCTCATTGTAGTTTCATTTGCATTTCTCTGATGATCAGTGATGTTGAGCACCTTTTCATGTGCCTGTTTGTCATTTGTATGCCTTCTTTTAAGAAATGTCTATTCAAATCTTTTGTCAGTTTTTAATCAGATCAATATTTTCTTTTCTTTTCTTTCCTTTTTTTTTTTTGAGACAGAGTCTCACTCTGTTGCCCAGGCTGGAGTGCAGCGGCATGATCTCGGCTCACTGCAACCTCTGCCTCTCAGGTTCAAGCAATTCTTATGCCTCAGCACCTTGAGTAACTGGGATTACAGGTGTGTATGTGCTGCCATGCCTGGCTAATTTTTTGTGTTTTCAGTAGAGATGTGGTTTCGCTATGTTGGCCAGGCTGGTCTCCAACTCCTGGCTTCAAATGATCTGCCTGCCTCAGCCTTCGAAAGAGCTGGGATTACAGGCATGAGCCACCATAACTGGGTAATAATTTTTTTCCACAGAGTCGTTTGAGCTCCTTTTATATTCTGGTTATTAATTCCTTGTCAGCTGGGTAGTTTGCAAATATATTCTCCCACTCTGTGGATTGTCGCTTCACTTTGTTGATTTCTTCAATAACTCTTGGTATAATCTGTCTGATGCTAAGTTTTCTCATTGGTTAAGATAAGGAGGATGGACTAGATAATATCAAAATTTATTCAGAGGCTAACATTCTAGTATTTTTGCTTCGCAATATGACCTGAGGCCTTGAGTTCCTGGTAAAGTTGAGTTCCGAGTGCACTGGCTGTTAGCAAGCACTCTGATTGGAAATGTGAGACAAGGGAAAAATTTAGATAATGACTTCTTAGCTGTTCTATCTGCTGATAAATGTTCAATAAATCATCCATTGGTTTTGAAGTAGTAAAAGAATTTCATTCTCACAGGATCTAAATGCTTATGTATAGGGTTGAATAACTAAAAGGAAAGTATAAAGAATTTTTGCAGTTTCAACTTTCTTGCAGAGAATGGGATTGGTGAGCAATAATGTCGATCCCTGGGTAAGTAGTCAAAAAAGGGTTCACTAAATTTCAGTCTGATGATGTGTCACCAAGATCCACTAAAATCAAGAAATGCCTTGGCCATTATATGAAAGAGGTATCATAAGACAGATAGCCCCATTTTCAATAAACTTTATATACATATACACATTTAGAACTTAATGTTCATTAAAACCCTCTCAGCCCTTATAGCTACTTAGCTGAAAAAGGAACATGTGTTAGTACCTAAATAGGATGCTCTTCACTAAGTTCGTGAAAAATAAGCAGAAACTTAATAACTTTAAATCTTATGTTTCAACATGGAGGTCAAAGGTCTATTACAGTAGTCCCCTTCTCTATGGTTTTACCTCCCAAGGTTTCAATTACCCAAGGTCAACCATGGCCCAAAAATATTACATGGAAAGTTCCTAAAATAAACAATTCGTAAGTTTTAAATTGTGCACCATTCTGAGTAGCATGGTTAAAATCTCTCACTATCCCACACTGTCCTGCTCCATCCTGCCCTGGATATGAATCATGGCTTTGTCCAGTGGGTCAACGAAAATAGTCAAACTCTGTAAAATATTTGAAAAGATGTATTCTGAGTCAAATATGGGTGATTATGTTCTGTGACATAGCCCTCAGGAGAGAACATGTGCCCAAGGTAGTTGGGGTGCAGCTTGGTTTTATACATTTTGAGAAGCATAAGACATCAATCAAATACATTTAATAAATGCATTGGTTTGGTCCAGAAAGGCAGGACAACTCAAAGGGGTGGGGGGGAAGTGGTGCTTCCAGGCTATAGATAAATTTAAATATTTGCTAAATGACAATTCTGAAGTCTTATAGTGGCTGCCCTTAGAGACAATATATGACAAATGTTTCCCATTCAGATCATTAAAAGGTGCTAGACCCTTCTTGACCCTTAGTTAATCTCTTTAGAATTGGGAGGGCCTGGAAGAAAAAGACCTAGCTATGTTAATAGAGATTCTTTGCAGATGAAAATTTTCCCCCACAAAGGACAGCTTTGCAGGGCCATTTCAAGATATGGCAAATAAACATGTTTTGGGGTAAAACATTTTGACTTTCTTCTTTGTCACATAATGTTATGCCAAAGTCAGATTGGAAAGTAAGTCACTATATATAGGGTTAAATAAAACCTATCTGATGAGAATTTATGGTTTGTAGGGCATGACTCTCCAGACCCCTTAGACAGGAATTTGGGTGAGATAAAAAAAAAAAAAAACAGATCTTAGTCCTCAAGCATAACCACGCTGTATATACTTACTACATTAGTCACTTACATTACATTAGTCACTTCTTAGCCATCTGGGGCAACTGTCTGATAACCAGTTAGTATAGCAGTGCTTGTGTCATAGTAAACCTTATTTTACTTAATAATGGCCTCAAGTGCAAAAGTACTGTGCCTAATTTATAAATTAAATTTTATCATAGGCCTGTATATACAGTATAGGAAATAACATAGTATCTATAAGGTTCTGTACTATCCATGATTTCAGGCGTCCATTGAGAGTCTTGGAACATATCCCCTGAGGAAAAGTGGGGAGACTACTGTATCTACAAAGATGACCTGATGAGTCCTATAGACTTTCAAAATTAGAAAATTGTCAGACATCATTCAGCCCAACCCTCTCATTCTAAAAGTAACAAAGTGAATTGACCAGGGTACCACAGTATGTAGAAGCAAAGCCTAGGTACAAAGCAGGTCTTCAGATTGCCAACAGGGACAGTTGCCATCATGGTAAGAGTGTGGACTTTAGAACTAAAGAT
The DNA here is from genome assembly GCF_000001405.40 of Homo sapiens. Taxonomy (NCBI): domain Eukaryota; kingdom Metazoa; phylum Chordata; class Mammalia; order Primates; family Hominidae; genus Homo; species Homo sapiens. The sequence goes on from NC_000023.11 coordinate 84,248,899, forward strand.
GTGTGATTGAAAACCAAAACTACCACCTCCTGGCTGTGTGACCTCAAATTATTTACTAAACATCCCTGAGCCTTGGTTTTGTTTTTTCTCATCTATAAAATGAGAGTTTTAATACTTACCTGTGGAACTCTTGTGAGGATAATAAATATATAATCTCTAGTTCACATGGCAAGAAACAGCATAACATAGTGGTTAAGGAAGATGTGTAGGGCATCTCCATGGGGCAGGGGTGGGGGTTAGTAAAACAAAGGGAGGGAATTAAGAAGGGTGGAGAGGTGGAGAGCAAATCCAGCCTTAGGCAAAGCTGTGGTTTGTCTAAAGTGACACTTGTACTCTTTCCCCCAAAGAATTCTTGCTGCTTTTAATACCAACTCCCCTCTGAGCATTTAACAAACTAATCATCTCTAAGGTGTAGGTGGTTTAACGTGTTGCCCTTCCAAGGTTCCAAGGATCATAACTGTACCTGATTTAACAAATCCTGTATCCTCTTATCCTCTTCTTTCTTTCTTTTTCTTTGAGGTTTTTTTTTTTTTTGTCATGGTCTCACTCTGTCCCCCGGGATGAGTGCAGTGGTGCCATCACAGTTCACCGCAGCCTTAACCTCCCAGACTCAAGTGATTCTCCCACCTCAGCCTCGTGAGTAGCTGGGAATGAAGGTGTGCATCACCGCGCCCAGCTAATTTTGTATTTTTTGTAGAGATGGGGTTTCGCCTCGTTGCCAAGTCTGGTCTTGAACTCCTGGGTTCAAGCGATCCACCCACATTGGCCTCCAAAAGTGCTGGGATTACAGGTTTGAGCCATCATGCCTGACCTCAAATACTCTTCTTAAGGTTTTTGTTTTGTGTTGTTTTTTTGTTTTAACAACCAGATGGATCTTGGTGCAATCTTAAAATGAATCCAAATATGTGAAACTGGAATTCTCTGGAAAATCTAGGTAGGTATAGCAATAAAAGTAAGGGGGAGTTCTAGCCTCCAGTTTCTCTAATTCTGATGTGGAGGTGGAAGCTGAGCACAAACATCACCAGCAGAGTATAGAGTGTAGTGAAAACCACATGTGGAAGAGAGGGAATCTCCCTGTGGGCTTCCACCATATAATACAGTTAGTTGGACTGAGAATCTTATCTGGAGTACTGTCTGGAGTACTGGGAGTCCCATATCCTGTGAGACATCCTTTTACTTCCTTTGCATAAAGTTTCTGATTCCTCTATAGGTTGCTAGCATTCATTTTCATCATTTTTAGAGGTATCAAAGATTCCCATTAAAAAGAAGTAACTTTCCTAGCACCTGTCAAATAATATCACTCAGGCATCTGCCTATGAATAGGCCTTACTCTGGGATTTGGTATTTGTTGTATACAGAAGTAGAAGAGTGTTGAGTATATATTTTGTCACTGGATACTTCTGTCAGAGGACATCCTGTCTGCTTGTTTCTCATTGCTTTAGTCATTCCAGCAAGATGTGACTTTCCCTGAAAGTTGGAAATTGCAGTTCCTTCTATAACTGACGTTTTTGTCAGGTGGATTTGTATAACCAAGTCTTTCACTGTCTTGATTCAGGCAGAGTGACAACAACAACAACAACAACAACAACAACAACAACAAAAGCGGCCAAGGGGAATGGACATACCAACAAATAGACTGAGAGACTATGAAGAAGTATTATCTGTTACCATTTCACCATTTTTCCACAATGAGTTTAAATTTTGCACCTGAACCAAGAACCAAGAATAGCAATGTGTCCTTTTCCTCTACAAAACTATATTTGGTCTAATCTATTCTCTGAAAGGAAGTAACCATTGGAAAATCAAAATAAAATTAAGGGACTTTAAATTCATTTGGGTTTCTCCTGATTTCAGGAGCTGTACAGCAAGTAAAAGGATAAGGATAATCCTATATAATGTCATTTCAGAGTGTGATTTCAAGTACCATTCTTCCAAAACGTCTTCCTCTGCTAAACTGCTAATTCCCAAATATCTGTCATTCATTAACTCAAAAGACACCTGTGTCTACCATGTGCCAGGCACTAGTAGTGGAAGATGGTACAGGAGAAAGTACGGGAAAGGCGAATGAAAAAAGGATATCACCAAGAGAAGAAAAGGTTCAGACAGGAGAAACAGATTTTTCTGTTTCTCAAGTGTGATGCTAATGTCACTGTTAATATGTTTGATTTATAGCTCCAATTAGCTAGTTCAGTATAGGTGATTGGAGCTTTTGACCAACTAGTACCCTTTTTAGTTGTGGAATAAAATTATCCTGAAAAGAACAATATTTTATATTTAGGTTTTCTTTCTTTACTTACAGCTTTGGAATGATTATGGAATAGGCATTGCATTAATTTAAAGTACATAAAATTTAATTCAGTAAGTCAATATCTACCCATATTGTTAGCATCTAACTGATTCAGCACTCTTGGTTTGAGCATAAGAGAGCAGAAAAATAGTTTGTCACTGCTTATAAGGGTTTTTTTTCCAGGACTCATTTGTTTCTAGTTCCTGAAAAGGATTACCTAGAGTATATATATTTTTTGTGAACCACATTGTATAAGTTCGAAGATCACTGATTATATGTTGTTGGCATCTACAGTTCCACAAGGACCTACATTGGTTTTGCCAGTATTTTATATAATATTCCTGAAACCAGTAGGCAGTGATACCAAGAATATTCCTGGGCTACTATTCAAACAGTAATTAAACAGATTTCTTTCAAATGTTCATATAGGAAACCAAGCAAATGGCTTTGATTTTTATTGAAAGAGCGCTATTTCTTTAGAGAAACTAAGAAATTAACATTGGTACAATACTATTAACTATTCTATACACCTTATTCAAATTCCACCAGTTTTCTCAGGAATATCCTTTTTCCTCTCCATGATCCCAACTCTCCATTTAGTCGTCATGTCTTCTGTGTCTCCTCTGATCTGTGACAGTTCCTTATTACTGCCTTGTCTTTCATAACCTGGTCATGATTAGACTGAGATTATCAATTTGTTGCATGAATACTACAGAGATAGAGTAGCCTTCACAGTGCACCATATATATATATATATATATATATATATATATATATATATATGTATATATGTATATATATGCACATATATATACACACATATATATATATAATATATATACATATATATATAATGGTTGGTCATGTTAATTTTAATCATTTGGTTAAGGTAATATCTGCTAGATTTTTACACTGTAAAGTTATAATTTCATCTCTGTAATTACCATATGTATTGTGGGGGAGATACTTTGGGGTTATGAAAATATCATGTTTCTTATCATATTTTGTCCACTAGTTTTAACATCCATGATTTTTACCTGAAACAGTTATTACTGTGTAACTATCTAAAGGTGGTTTTCTATTTTCCTCATTCCTTCTACTCATATTCATTGAAATTTTTTATAAGAAAAAGTTATTTCTTCTCTCCCATTTATTTATACATTCAATCATGTATTTCTGTAAGTATGGACACAGGGATATTTATTTTATTCTATGGGTTATAATCCAGTACTATCATTATTTATTTATTTTTGTTCAAATTGTTCCAGCTTTGGTCATTGGAATCACCTTCAGATTGGCTCCTTTGTCCCTCTAACATGTTCCCTCCTTTTTTGAGTACTTCACTACTCTCTGGGACTATAAGATGTCCCAGACTCATTTTTATATTATCTGCCCTAGCCCTAGAATCAAACATTTTATCATGGAGTATTGGTCCCTTTTATAAGATAATGATAATTAGAAACTAAGATCTGAATACTAGGTGTACTCATTGCTACAAGGTTTTCACTGTTTCTAGGCTCTCTTGGTGAACTGAGATAAGAAGTACTGATGCTCCATGACTTATGGTGGGGCCACATCCCAGTTAACCTACTGTAAGTTGAAAATGCCTTCAATACCCTGATAAGCCCATTGTAAAGTAAAAAAATTGTAAGTTGAACCATCATAAGTCAGGGACCATCTGTATATGTGTATATACTAACAAATACATACACACATCCATGATTTCTATATTTATTCATCTGCATATATATTACATTAAGCAGGAGTTCATACTGATGTTTTTGACTTACATCTCTAATTCCAATTCAGCACAACAAGATTCATTTTAGCCTTCCCTCTTTTCCCATTTGTAACTTTTCTCTGACAGAATGAAGCCTGGTTCTTTGTATCTATAATCTTAGTTAGTACATACATAAAGCACTTTCAGACTATTTCTGAACTTTCTATTCTATTGTATAGATTATTTTTATGAGTACAACTGATAAGGAAAAGAATGGTTTACTTTAAAATATAGTGTAGGAAAACAAGATTGGGAAGGAGGTTTTCATCCTGACTGTATGAATTCACATAGACAAATGTCCCATGTGTTATGAACTATATTCTCTCCTTTACATCCAGTGGAGCAATTAGTAAGTCCCTTTCTGTTTTCACAGGAAAACAATTTAGGGGAGTTCTTTGCTCTCTCATTCATCAATTATGGTAATCAGCCTACCAGCAATAATAACAATTACAACTAACAAGCTAACATAAGATTACCTGTGTAAGGTACTCTGCTAAATGCTCTATATGCAATATCTCATTTAATTTTTACAGTAATCCCCCAAAATGTAAGACTATAATATTTTCTTTCCATTTTGCAGATAAGGAATGTGAGTTATAAGAGAGTTAAATAATATGCTCAAGGTCACACAGCAGGAATGGGAGCATAGGTCACTTTGACACCAGCGTTAGCACTCAACCACTATTTTACACAGTCTTACTATAGAAAAGCATACTGGGGAGAAAAAGAAGTTTGGCAGCTATAAAGAGGGTGCTACCCATGGCAAACAAACTCTCCACAGGCAATCTATTGTTTGTTACAGTATTGTCTAAGGACCACTTATATCAGAATCACCCAAGATGATTTTAAAAAATGAAGTTTCCTGGGCCCAAGCCAACCTTACACACCAGAATCTTAGCAATGGAACCTGTATATCAGTTGTTACACAAATGTTCCAAGTGATTCCTCAATTTGAGAAATATGTTGACACCACCTGGTTGTCTAGTGGTTAGGATTTGGTGTTCTCTCAATTTAAGGAATATGTGGACATAGTCTGGTAACCTATCTCATGCCAGACTTCCCAATATGAAACACTGTTCCTTTTAGTTTCTTAAATATATGAAAATATCAGGTATCGCAGGTCTGTCAGTCCTCATCCCTCAACCAGGAAGAATGTGATTCTATCAGAAATACTCATTTTTTCCCAGAAAGCCAAAGTCTATTCATTTCTTTTCCCAAAAGCTTTTGTAGCTTCAAATGAAGTAAAATAAAATGCTGTTGTTTTCAGTCATTTTATAAGGACTGTGAGTAACTGCTAAATGCTAACAATCTGTTAAAACCAGCAGAGTTCACACCCTAACTTTCAGCATTTTTCCTAAAACCTATAACAGATTTGTAATGGCAGTAGTTTCAGAAGAATGCAAAACTCAGGATTATGAAGACAGAGATACATGATTTAGGCAGGGTTAAGTTTCAAAAATTGTGAGATGCAAACTTTCCCTGTTTAATCTTCAGGTAGCTAGTACCCTAAACACACCAACCACAAAGAATTGTATTTGTTAGTACACTTTTAAATATAATTAATTTGTATCATTGACTTTACACCTTTTTCTCCCCTACCACTCTTTTGTCACAGAAAATCTGCAACATCATTGTTTTGCAGCAGCAGCTTCCACAGAGTAGTCAGCTTTTACCAAAGCCATCCAATGGTACTACAATCCCAACAGAAACAAGATAGCCTTCTCTCAGTACCTCTGGATCCAGTTACAGCTCTATCAGTCAAGCTACAGGTTTTTAGCGGGCTAGAAAAGCTGTTGGAGCCCCATATCAGATTGTTCTTGGCGACCATGTTATGGATCCATCCAGAGGCAGATTTACTGTGAAGCTAATAAAGTTAAAGCTTCAGGGCCCCTGATTTGCACAGGTGCCTTCCAAGGCTCTGAGAGTCACCCTAGCAATGTCTTCACATGGACACATACATGCTTGTGTAAAATGTGCAAAAGTAAAGCATTCATATTATTTTTATTAAAAATGGCATGCCATATTTTACAAATTTCAGGACCTACAAAACCTGGATCTAGTTCTAAGTCTACTATATCATAAACATATTCTAGTTCTTAAGTAATTAGGATCCTATGGACTAGGCTCTAAATAGACAAACTTTTTATTCCATATTTGCTTATAGTAAATAACGTTAGTTACGTAAAGTGTGATTCTCAAGTCTGCAGCTTTGAGGTCAGGTCAGAATACAAAGGAAAGAAACTATTTTCTTCCTCTTTGTTTAATCTAAAGAATGGTTTTCTTCATTTTACTGTTTTGATGGGAATTGTTGGTTATTTTCTTCCTTTTGGAGTCACAGGGAGAGAACTGGCTCATGAAAATAGCACTCTATTTCAGCAGTCTTCCCGTTTCTAAGCTCCGTCCCTACCAATACGAGCTGTCATGACCCATACCCAAACTCTGTTTTCTCTTCTGTCCTAGTTAATAGTATTTAATCAAGATCTAAGTTGAAATGAATGCATTAAGTAGCCTTCATGCAAGGCTAAATTTAGCACAATAACACACCAGTGTTCGAATCTTATCTTGAAGCAATGCTGACGTTATTTACACTTACTCCTGTAAGCAATGTCTCTAGACAATTTTAAATGAAAAAAAAAACCTTGATTCAGTACTCAATATCTAAAATTTCAAACAGAATAATGCATGAACATATGTTCCCAGAGAAAATTACTTGTAGTAAACAGAAGTTTGGGCTTTCTTTCTGTCACGGCTTCAGAGCCGCTTGATTCCATAACAAAAAAACACTTCTTCAGTTCTCACTGGGTTCATGGTATTATGCTAAATGTTTCCATGATTTGATGCTGTTTAGGGAAAATAGGCCTCCTGTTCTTTGAGTACAGAACCTCCAATTAAGTGTTTGAGCTTCACATGGCTGCTCATAAATCAGAAAACACAGAGCTGAATAAAACTAGAATTAAAAATTACTCTTTAAAATTTGGCTTAAACAAAATAAATACTGAAAATGTTGGATTATAACTCATTGTATATATAAAATAATTATCCATGAGCCCATATTGAAATGAAAAAATTATTGACTAGGTAAATACACGAGAGAGAAGAGAAAGTTTATATCTACTGGTAAATGAGTACATTTAATTTTAATTACTTTTTTGTACTTCAGGTAACTTAATAAACTTCTTTGAAATCCTTAAAAAAAAGAAAAAGAAAAAGTATACTACGCAGGTAGTAAATGTAGAAAAAATTGATGAAAATAGAAAATCACTATTTGGCAAACACCACAGTAATAATTGTTTCAGATAAGAATCATTCATGTATGCTAAAATCAGTGGACAAAAGTATTATGAAAATCAGGATATTTGCATAGTCTCAAATTATTTCCCCAATAGTTAATTGTCAAGAGAAAAAATACTGACTTCAGAGTGTAGAATCCCTTAACGCAATGATCAAAGTTAATACTACTAGTAATGGGAAAAATGGACATTATATGTTTTCTGAAATGATGCACTGAAAAGCACACATTTTTATTTCTAGGGTATTTCTACCAAAATGCATAATCTTATAGCAAACCAAGTTGAGGAATATTCTACAAAATAACTGCCAGTACTCTTTAAAGGTGTCACGGTGACAAAGACTAAGACGCTGTTCTAGTCTAAAGGAGAGTAAGGAGATATGACACTAAATGTAACATATGACCCTGAATTATTGTCTGGATCAGAAAAAGCCTATTAGTGGAACCACTGGTGAAATTTAAGGTCTGCAGATTAGATATTACTATTATATCATTAATTTCCTCTTCTTGATAATCATACCATGGTTACATAAGCTAATAATGATTGGAGAATTTGATAAAAAGTATTTAAGAATTGGTTGTATAATTTTTGCAACTTTTTTATAAGCTTGAAACTGTAAGATACAAAGTCAAAAAAGTAAAAAACAAATGTAAATATTGGCTTATATTTTTCAACACAACAGATGTGTTTGCTCTGTTATTAACTTGCTCTCACAATGCTTCCTAATATTGGCTAGGGGAAATTCAGTATATCATGTATTGAACCCATCTCACATGCTAGCTATGAAAAGATGTGGAAGACCCTAAAATGAGTAAAGACCTCTACTCAGGTCTCAGTGTAACAGGGAAAAAAGACATAACCAACTAAGATGAACAGCTGTGATCAGTGTTGTAAGAGACAGGCAGATAGTGTGTTATAGGCACTCGAAAAAAGTTTAGTTCCTGCTTTGAAGTGTTAGGGAAAATGCCATTGAAAAATTAATTTTCAGGCTAGGATTTGAAGGATGGTAGGATTTTGACAAGTACAATTTGAGGTAACGGGCATACAAAGCTAAGAGAATAGCATGAATAAACCTTGGAGGAGAAAAAAAAATGAAAGACCACCCCTCCCCATATGTCCCAATAGAGCAAATTTGTACATCTTGTTACAGGCCATATTATTGGGCTATAATTTGATTATTATAAATTTTTATTGTTCATTAAACTGCAGACTCATTCCCACAAACCACTCAATTTGAAAGATGCCTTAGAGATCTTACCCAACCACCTCATTTTGGTGCTGGAAAAAATGAAGAGGCTCTTCTAAGGCCTCACGAAGTTCGCAGCAGCAGTAGGGCCAAAACCCAGAGCTCTTGTCTCCCAATTTAGTGCTTTATCTACTCTAACACTGTGAAACTTTTAAATAAGCATTGTAATGTCAGTCAGGCACATTACTGTGCAGACACAGGAATCTTCATACTGGCTTCTTCAGACTCCTATCTTCCTAGAATTTAGTTGTACTGCAATTCTGCTCTCCTTTCCCTGTGCCCCTCCTATATTCATTATAAAGTTTTACATTGAAGATGGGTAGAGGCACAGTTTCAAGGCACTCTGTGACAGCCAGCAAGTAGCCAGCTATTTATTAGCTAACTTTGATGGGACTAAAGTTCTATTCTAATAAACCCACTCATGGGCTCCTTTCTTCTGCCTATAATTGGCTGATGAATCATTCTTTAATCTGAAACAAAACAGTCAACAGAAAAGCCAAATTATCTTGTCATTGTATCTCTTCAGGTAAGTCTTCATAACCATCCTACACACCCTTCCCTCAGAATCAAATGCTTTCCTTTTTGAACAAATGACTTATAAATTCTAGAAATGCAGCTGTGCACAGTGGCATGCCTTTACTGCCAGCTACCCATGCCAGGTTGACATGGGTGAAGAAATCACTTGAGTCCAGGAGTTCGAGGCTGCAGTGGGCTATGATCATGCTTGTAAATATCCTCTACACTCTAGCCTGAGCAACATAGCAAGATCTTGTCTCTTAAAAAATTAAAAGATAATTAAAAATGCATTTGCTGAAAGAGTAATGTCCCCAGAAAGCATGAAGCCAGGCCAGGGCACTTATGAAGGAGAATGAGGGAGTTAGGTTGGAGGTTACGGATGAATTCTTTCTACTCCTTACACAACTAACTGATTGTATCCATTCTGAAGGCATATATCTGAGAATTTGTTCCTTGCTAAACAAACAAACAAACAAACAAAAATTTCCTATTTTTCTCAATATATCACTCTCTCATCTGTGTTGATGTAGAAAAGATCTATTCATGTAGCATAAGCAATTATGAGAGGGAGGCAGTGGGGACTTAGAAGTCTTCTCACCTCACTGCTCACTAGATCTGCAGGGTCAAAGGGAGATCTAGAGATCCCTTTGTAAATCTAAGCAGTTTGCCAGTAAATCTTATGATTCCCATTGCAGCAGAAATACCCCCTGTCATGCACAAAGCCAAGGTTAAATTCATTTAAATTTGAACCCAAGTAACCAGACTGGCCATGAATAACAATGATAAAAGCACAAAGCACAAAGAAATGATGAGGATGGAAGCAAGACTTTGTGGCTTTTCAGCAAAAGAAACACTGTCTTCCATGGTTAATGAGTCATTAAAAGAAAGCAGCTACCTCTGTAACTCTCACATTTAGGAGCAGCTGCTGTTATGAATTAGAATCACAACCAGAGCATCAGGAAGTCTTGACTTCTAGAGTGATATGCATATATGTATCCTCAAAATTGTTGTGTCCAAATAAATATAGTGAAAGAAGTCAAGATTATAGTTGCCTGTTACCTTTCTTATTTTTGGCACGTTGTCTCCATGTTCCCTATTTCAGTTCTTCCCCATTGGCAAAAAGGCCTAGAGAGTGATACACTTGATTTCAGTTCTCTCTTCCTACTTACCACTACTATCTGCTCCTTCCTCTCCCACCACTAACAGTTGCCTGTCCTCTGTCCCATTTTCTCAGGACCTTCTAAAAGAAGAACTAGATGACTTGGTTGAGACTGATGACTGTGTAATATGTTCCCCTCTCAGATAACCTTTATATTCTAATAATGCCCTTTAATCCTTTATCAAAAGAAGTAGCAAACTAGGAAAGGGGTTACATTTTGGGGACGGAATGTGTCTGATTGCTCTTCACATCACCACATGGAGCTTGCCATATATTTCACCCTATGGGTAAGGTTGGCCTGGTATAATAGAGCACCACTTGAATAGTAATAATAGCGAAGATGCCCTAAACAGCTTCCTACTGTGTACTCCATAGATATAGTCTAATAAGTTAATAATGCAGAGCATAAATATCTAAAGCTGAGTTGCTAATATGTGGTCGTTTCACTGAGAAGAAAGTTACTAATTTGAGTTTTACTTGAATTATCACCATCCTTCCAACACACATACCTCCTTGCTACTTCCCCTAGGATTGCTGAAATAGCCTCTCCTCAATCATTTATTATCTATCTTGCTCATTCCCACCCCAGTCTGGATGCTGCTAATTAGCTGTCTTTATGGATGGATACCATCTGAAAATTAAATAACGAGAATACTAACAAGGTAATCTTTATCTTATGTAGCTGCTTTGTAGACTCTTCTAGCCATTCTGAGCCAGGGAATGTCTTCATAATTCAACTGTTATCATAAGAATATAATTTTCTGCTTTATATCTTGGCTACAAAACAGTATTTGAGATGGCAAATTAGAAATTGAAAGCCACTTCAAATAAACAGCACCATAGTCAATATGTTACTCATTCCTTTATACAGTTCCTGTAATAGGTTCAATGACAGAGTTGGGCTTCTCAGCCCTGGGGAGGCAAATTTTCTCCAGGGACAGTATGACATTCTGCAAAGGGAAATTATCTTTAATTATTAACTATAGGAAATAAATATAACTCAGACAAGCATTTTTAGGAAGCAGGTGGGTCAAAGTCAAACTGATGACAAGGTTGTCCTGACTTTCCCCCCAAATCAGAAATAATGCAGGAGTGTATATGTAAAGTATGTAGGTGGTTAGAAAGCCAAAGACAGAGTACTCTCAAATAAGTGTCTCAACTTACAAGGCTCAGGCAGAAGCTGAATGAAAAATATATTTCCTACACAGTTCTCTGAAGGTCAGACCCCAGGAAGAGTCCTTTTTGTAGTAGGGAATTCCAAAGGTAGATGTGCTATTTTGGCTCAAGAACAGAGCATTTTCACAATCTGAGTGATGACAGGTATACAATTTGGATAACAACATGATTAGAAATACCCATTGATCAGCTGTGTGTTAAGGGAGGCAGAAAGAATGAGAAGTTCTTAATTCACTCATAGGGAGATGACAATTGACTGAGAGTCCAAAGGGTTCCATTATGACATTTTACTTACATGCCTGAATTTAAATTAACTGTTATAAGAGGAAGAGACAAGCATCTCAGAGCTGTGCAGTAGGAAAAAGTCAAATGTTAACATTTTAAACATGCTTATGAACAAAGTTGACAAATTTACTTGCAAGGCAGCATAGAGTATCAGGAGAAAAAGCTAGTCTAGATAAAAGAATGTTTGAGTCCTAGTTCTAGCGTCTACTATTGGTTGGCTATGTGTTCTTGGACAATTTACTTCCCCTTTCTGGGATTCAGTTTCCTCAATTTAAAAATAATTGGTTTTCTCTCTATTAGTATTTTTCAGACCTAATGAAAAGGTGGAGGGGGGCAATAGGGGGTTGCCTGATTTTTATCTTAGCAATAATGACACTTTAAAAGATACTTTAAAAAATACCATACCATCTGCTATTACCGTCATATGTTAACTGAAGATAAAATGGTACTTACCTGACAGATTTGTTGTGAGGATTAAATGAGTTAATATATGTGAAGTGTTTAGAATAGTTCCTGACACATAGTGAATATTTCATTTATGTTATTGATATTACTACCATTATTATTAATTCAGTACATAAATATATTTAACAGATAATTTAAAAATATATAACTATAGGAAAAATAAGTATTTCAATTAATTAAATTCAGCTTTATGAACAATTCAATATATCCTTATTTTTTTTGTGGAAAATTCTCATAGACCAGGACAAGTCTGGCATTTGGTAATTACTGGACTGGGTGATCTTAAAAACTCACTTCCATCACTAATGTTCTATTTAGAGGGTTCATTTAAAACTTAAAAATAACTAATTGATAAATAACACATTGAACTTTATGGGTCTTCATAACATTTACCAGTATTAATTTGAGTTAATTATGGCAAAACCGAGAAATTTGAAAACCTATTTTTGTGGCCCCTTACTAACTTTAGAAGATTCTCTTTCCCTTTATCCACTTATAGCTTATTCTGTCATGTGTTTTCACTAATTCCTGCTAAAGCCTTTATATCATTAAAACTTTAGCATTGCCACTAAGAATGTCGACCACTGACATTAACCAGCTAATTGAATTGAAGCTCCTGAAAAGTGCAGCTCTTGGGACAGAGGTGGAGGTGGAAGGTAATCTGTTAAAGGCTGGATTCACAAAGTTTGCTAGCTGGGTGAATGTTCATCTGAGGGTCATTACATTGCTGCAAGTAAAGTATGCAGTTAAGGCAAAGAAAAAAAATCCTGTGAAATTAAATATACTAAATGTTCACTTCATTTACTAATTTCTATGGTATTTTATCTCACGAAATATTTTCCATATAAAGTTAATACTAACAATCCAGTCTTGCCTCCAACTTCTTCCTCACATGAAGTTTCTATTTAGCTAAAATTCATTTCTTTTTATTATTATTATTATACATTAAGTTCTAGGGCACATGTGCATGACATGCAGGTTTGTTACATATGTATACATGTGACATGTTGGTGTGCTGCACCCATTAACTCATCATTTACAATAGGTATTCCTCCTAATGCTATCCCACCCCCTCCCCCAACCCCACGACAGGCCCTGGTGTGTGATGTTCCCCACCCTGTGTCCAAGTGTTTTCATTGTTCAATTCCCACCTATGAGTGAGAACATGTGGTGTTTGGTTTTCTGTCCTTGCGATAGTTTGCTCAGAATGATGGTTTCCAGCTTCATCCATGTTCCGTCAAAGGACATGAACTCATCCTTTTTTATGGCTGCATAGTATTCCATGGTGTATATGTGCCACATTTTCTTAATCCAGTCTATCATTGATGGACATTTGGGTTGGTTCCAAGTCTGGGCTATTGTGAATAGTGCCGCAATAAACATACGTGTGCATGTGTCTTTATAGTACCATGATTTATAATCCTTTGGGTATATACCCAGTAATGGGGTTGCTGGGTCAAATGGTATTTCTAGTTCTAGATCCCTGAGGAATCACCACACTGTCTTCCACAATGGTTGAACTAGTGTACACTCCCACCAACAGTGTAAAAGCATTCCTATCTCTCCACATCCTCTCCAGCACCTGTTGTTTCTAGTAAATTTGTTTAAGTTCTTTGTAGATTCTGGATATAGCCCTTTGTCAGATAGGTAGATTGCAAAAATTTTCTCCCATTCTGTAGGTTGCCTGCTCACTCTGATTGTAGTTTCTTTTGCTGTGCAGAAGCTCTTTAGTTTAATTAGATCCCATTTCTCTATTTTGGCTTTTGTTTTCATTGCTTTTGGTGTTTTAGTCATGAAGTCCTTGCCCATGCCTATGTCCTCAATGGTATTGCCTAGGTTTTCTTCTAGGGTTTTTATGGTTTTAGGTCTAACATTTAAGTCCTTAATCCATCTTGAATTAATTTTTTTATAAGGTGTAAGGAAGGGATCCAGTTTCAGCCTTCTACATATGGATAGCCAGTTTTCCCAGCACCATTTATTAAATAGGGAATCATTTCCCCATTGCTTGTTTTTGTCAGGTTTGTCAAAGATCAGATGGTTGTAGATGTGTGGTATTATTTCTGAGGGCTCTGTTCTGTTCCATTGGTCTATATCTCTGTTTTGGTACCAATACCATGCTGTTTTGGTTACTGTAGCCTTGTAGTATAGGTTGAGGTCAGGTAGGGTGATGCCTCCAGCTTTGTTCTTTTGGCTTAGGATTGACTTGGCAATATGGGCTCTTTTTTGGTTCCATATGAACTTTAAAGTAGTTTTTTCCAATTCTGTGAAGGAAGTCATTGGTAGCTTGATGGGGATGGCATTAAATCTATAAATTACCTTGGGCAGTATGGCTATTTTCACAATATTGATTCTTCCTATCCATGAGCATGGAATGTTCTTCCATATGTTTGTGTCCTCTTTTATCTCATTGAGCAGTGGTTTGTAGTTCTCCTTGAAGAGGTCCTTCATGTCCCTTGTAAGTTGGATTCCTAGGTATTTTATTCTCTTTGAAGCAATTGTGAATGGGAGTTCACTCATGATTTGGCTCTCTGTCTTTTCTTGCTGTATAGGAATGCTTATGATTTTTGCACATTGATTTTGTATCCTGAGACTTTGCTGAAGTTGCTTATCAGCTTAAGGAGATTTGGGGTGAGACAGTGGGGTTTTCTAAATATAAAATCATGTCATCTGCAAATAGGAACAATTTGACTTTCTCTTTTCCTAATTGAATACCCTTTATTTCTTTCTCCTGCCTGATTGCCCTGGCCAGAACTCCCAACACTATGTTGAATAGGAGTGGTGAGAGAGGGCATCCCTGTCTTGTGCCAGTTTTCAAAGGGAATGCTTCCAGTTTTTGCCCATTCAGTATGATACTGGCTGTGGGTTTGTCATAAATAGCTCTTATTATTTTGAGATATGTCCCATCAATAACTAGTTTATTGAGAGTTTATAGCATGAAAGGCTGTTGAATTTTCTCGAAGGCCTTTTCTGCATCTAGTATCATGTGGTTTTTGTCTTGGTTCTGTTTATATGATGGATTACATTTTTTGATTTGCATATGTTGAACCAGCCTTGCATCCCTGGAATGAAGCCAACTTATTTGTGGTGGATAAGCTTTTTGATGTGCTGCTGGATTTGGTTTGCCAGTATTTTACTGAGGATTTTTGCATCAATGTTCATCAGGGATATTGGTCTAAAATTCTCTTTTTTTGTTGTGTCTCTGCCAGGCTTTGGTATCAGGATGATGCTGGCCTCATAAAATGAGTTAGGGAGTATTCTTTCTTTTCCTATTGATTGGAATAGTTTCAGAAAGAATGGTACCAGCTCCTCTTTGTACCTCTGATAGAATTTGGCTGTGAATCCATCTGGTCCTGGACTTTTTTTGGTTGGTAGGCTATCAATTATTGCCTCAATTTCAGAGCCTGTTATTGGTCTATTCAGAGATTCAACTTCTTCCTGGTTTAGTCTTGGGAGAGTGTATGTGTCCAGAAATTTATCCATTTCTTCTAGATTTTATAGTTTATTTTCATAGAGGTATTTGTAGTATTCTCTGACGGTAGTTTGTATTTCTGTGAGATCAGTGGTGATATCCCCTTTATTATTTTTCATGGCATCTATTTGATTCTTCTCTCTTTTCTTCTTTATTAGTCTTGCTAGCAGTCTATCGATTTTGCTGATGTTTTTGAAAAACCAGCTCCTGGATTCGTTGATTTTTTGAAGGGTTTTTTGTGTCTCTATCTCCTTCAGTTCTGCTTTGATCTTAGTTATTTTTTTGCCTTCTGCTAGCTTTTGGATTTTCTTGCTCTTGCTTCTCTAGTTCTTTTAATTGTGTTGTTAGAGTGTCGATTTTAGATCTTTCCTGCTTTCTCTTGTGGATATTTCATGCTATAAATTTCCCTCTACACACTGCTTTAGCTGTGTCCCAGAGATTCTGGTACATTGTGTCTTTGTTCTCATTGGTTTCAAAGAACATCTTTATTTCTGCTTTCATTTCATTATTTACCCAGTAGTCATTCAGGAGCATGTTGTTCAGTTTCCTTGTAGTTGTGTGGTTTTGAGTGAGTTTCTTAATCCTGAGTTCTAATATGATTGCACTGTGGTCTGAGAGACAGTTTGTTGTGATTTCTGTTCTTTTACATTTGCTGAGGAGTGCTTTACTTCCCACTATGTGGTCAATTTTGGAATAAGTGCGATGTGGTGCTCAGGAGAATGTATATTCTGTTGATTTGGGGTGGAGAGTTCTGTAGATGTCTATTAGGTCTGCTTGGTGCAGAGCTGAGTTCAAATCCTGGAGATCCTTGTTAACCTTCTGTCTCGTTGATCTGTCTAATATGGACAGTGTGGTGTTAAAGTCTCCCAATATTATTTTCTGGGAGTCTAAGTCTCTTTGTGGGTCTCTAAGGACTTGCTTTATGAATCTGTTTGCTCCTGTATTGGTTGCATATATATTTAGGATAGTTAGGCCTTCTTGTTGAATTGATCCCTTTACCATAATGTAATGGCCTTTTTGTCTCTTTTGATCTTTGTTGGTGTAAAGCCAGTTTTATCAGAGACTAGGATTGCAACCCCTGCTTTTTTTTTTTTTTTTTTTTTTTTTTGCTTTCCATTTGCTTGGTAGATCTTCCTCCATCCATTTGTTTTGAGCCTATTTGCGTCTCTGCACATGAGATGGGTTTCCTGAATACAGCACAATGAAGAGTCTTGACTCTTTATCCAATTTGTCAGTCTATGTCTTTTAATTGGGGCATTTAGCCCATTTATATTTAAGATTAATATTGTTATGTGTGAATTTGATCCTGTCATTATGATGTTAGCTGGTTATTTAGCCCGTTAGTTGATGCAGTTTCTTCCTAGCATCAATGGTCTTTACAATTTGGCATGTTTTTGCAGTGGCTGGTACTGGTTGTTCCTTTCCATGTTTAGTGCTTCCTTCAGGAGCTCTTATAAGGCAGGCCTGGTGGTGACAAAGTCTCTTAGCATTTGCTTGTCTGTAAAGGAGTTTATTTTTCCTTCACTTATGAAGCGTAGTTTGGCTGGATATGAGATTCTGGATTAAAAATTCTTTTCTTTAAGAATGTTGAATATTGGCCCCCACTCTCTTCTGGCTTGTAGAGTTTCTGCCGAGAGATCAGCTGTTAGTCTGGTGGGCTTCCCTTTGTGGGTAACCTGACCTTTCTCTTTGGCGGCCCTTAACATTTTTTCCTTCATTTCAACCTTGGTGAATCTGACAATTATGTGTCTTGGGGTTGCTCTTCTCAAGGAGTATCTTTGTGGTGTTCTCTGTATTTCTGGAATTTGAATGTTGGCCTGCCTTGCTAGGTTGGGGAAGTTCTCCTGGATAATATCCTGCAGAGTGTTTTCCAGCTTGGTTCCATTATCCCCGTTACTTTCAGGTACACCAATCAGACGTAGACTTGGTCTTTTCACATAGTCCCATATGTCTTGGAGGCTTTGTTCATTTCTTTTTACCCTTTTTTCTCTAAACTTCTCTTCTCTCTTCATTTCATTCATCTGATCTTCAATCACTGATGCCCTTTCTTCCACTTGATCAAATCGGCTACTGAGGCTTGTGCATGTGTCACGAAGTTCTTGTGCCATGGTTTTCAGCTCCATCAGGTCATTTAAGGTCTTCTCAACACTGTTTATTCTAGTTAGCCATTCGTCTAATCTTTTTTCAAGGTTTTTAGCTTCCTTGCGATGGGTTCGAATATCCTCCTTTAGCTCAGAGAAGTTTGTTATTATGGATCTTCTGAAGCCTACTTCTGTCAACTAGTCAAAGTTACTCTCTGTCCAGCTTTGTTCCTTTGCTGGCAAGGAGGTGCGATCCTTTGGAGGAGAGGAGGCACTCTGGTTTTTAGAATTTTCCACTCTTCTGCTCTGGTTTCTCCCTATCTTTGTGGTTTTATCTCCGTTTGGTCCTTGATGATGGTGACCTACAGATGGGGTTTTGGTGTGGATGTCCTTTTTGTTGATGTTGATGCTGTTCCTTTCTATTTGTTAATTTTCCTTCTAACAGTCAGGTCCCTCAGCTGCAGGTCTGTTGGAGTTTGCTAGAGGTCCACTCCAGACCCTGTTTGCCTGGGTATCACCAGCAGAGGCTGCAGAACAGCAAATATTGCAGAACAGCAAATATTGCAGAACAGCAAATATTGCTGCCTGATCCTTCCTCTGGAAGCTTCATCTCAGAGGCGCACCTGGCATTATGAGGTGTCAGTTGGCCCCTACTGGGAGGTGTCTCCCAGTTAGGCTACACAGGGGTCAGGGACCCACTTGAGGAGGCAGTCTGTCCATTCTCAGAGCTCAAACACCGTGCTGGGAGAACCATAGCTCTCTTCAGAGCTGTCAGACAGGGATGTTTAAGTCTGCAGAAGTTTCTGCTGCCTTTTGTTCAACTATGCCCTGCCCCCTGAGGTAGAGTCTACAGTGGCAGGCAGGCCTTATTGAGCTGCGGTGGGCTCCACCCAGTTGGAGCTTCCTGGCCACTTTGTTTACCTAGTCAAGACTCAGCAATGGCGGACGTCCCTCCCCTAGCCTTGCTGCCGCCTCGCAGTTTGATCTCGGACTGCTGTGCTAGCAGTGAGCAAGGCTCCGTGGGTGTGGGACCCACTGAACCAGGCGTGGGATATAATCTCCTGGTATGCTGTTTGCTAAGACCATTGGAAAAGCACAGTATTAGGGTGGGAGTGTCCCGAGTTTCCAGGTACCATCTGTCATGGCTTCCCTTGGCTAGGAAAGGGAATTCCCCCACCCCTTGTGCTTCCCAGGTGAGGTGATGCCACACCCTGGTTCGGCTCACACTCCATGGGCTGCACTCATTGTCCAACAAGTCCCAGTGAGATGAAACTGGTACCTCAGTTGGAAATGCAGAATCACCTGTCTTCTGCATTGCTCACACTGGGAGCTGTAGACTGGAGCTGTTCCTATTCGGCCATCTTGGAATGATCTCTCCGCTAAAATTCATTTCTTAATGTTGCTTATGCTTTCATTATTTGCCTGTGCCATTCCTTTTCTTTGGAAAGCATCATTACCTTTACTTTCTATCTCTGCCAATTAGAATTCTGTTAATCTTTCAAAGTTTGTCTTAATCACTATCTTTTCCATGAAGCCTCTCAATTCTTTCCATGTTTTCCAACTTTTCTATGTTATTTCCATGTTATTTCTCTTATTCTGCTTAATATCATAACAGTTGCTGTCTTTGTCTTTATCTCCTGACATAATCAAAAGTACCCTAAAGAGAGAGATTATGTCCTATTTATGTATTTATTTCCCATAGCATCAGGCTGCACTGTACACAGAGAAGATGCTTTACAAATTGCTGGTAGAGTTTAGTTCAAAAAGAGGTAGGTAAGTTGTGGCAATTTTTTTTTTTTTTGAGATGGAGTCTCACTCTGTCGCCCAGGCTGGAGTGCAGTGATGCAATCTCGGCTCACTGCAAACTCTGTCTCCTGGGTTCAAGCCATTCTCCTGCCTCAGCCTCCCGAGTAGCTGGGACTACAGGTGCCCACCACCATGCCCAGCTAATTTTTTGTATTTTTAGTAGAGATGGGGTTTCACCATGTTAGCCAGGATGGTCTCGATCTCCTGACCTCGTGATCTGCCCACCTCAGCCTCCCAAAGTGCTGGGATTACAGGTGTGATCCACTGCGCCCAGCCCAGTTGTGGCAAATTTATATCTCATTAAATCTAACCCAGTTTGGGGTCATGGACTTGCTGGAGTCACGGAGGCAGCACCACCTTAATACAAATCAGTGTGCCCAACATCTCATATATAAATATACACAACTACTATGTATCTGTAAAATTTTAAAAAAATACTAATAACAAACGAAAAGGTAAGTCAATGTGCCCCTCACAGTCTTAGGCTGTTTTATATCATAGGTAGTAGGGAGTGAAAGATGTGTTTAAAAGCTCCCACATGCCTTACATGCCTCCCCATAGGTTGTCTGGCATGTAAGCTAACTCACCTTCTTAATATGCTCCTGGAAATGAAAAATTATAGCACAGCTTTGTGCCCAGCTCAGTTGTCATTCTACATAGCAGTGGCTCCATCCTCTGCCTATTAAGGACTAGTATTGACTTCCTCAACTATTATGACGGTTGAATGGATTGAGCAGGTTACTGACAGTGCAAATCCCTGAGAGCAATCCTCTTATTTCTGACAATTTATTTGCAGTAGGCAATGCTTGGTAAGGTATTCCACATCACGGTACCTATAGAAAATAATACTCTGTATAGCATACTGGAGTAAACAGACAAGGCTGTGAGGAATCAGAGGTAAGTCTGCCCCAAGGCATCCATTACTCCAGGCCCCAACTGGCCACCCTATGGACTGAGGAAAAATCAGTAGCTCAGCACATCTGAAACCCATTCCCACCAGCTGAGAAGCTCTACTATACATCATAGAATAGTGTCATAATGGCAGCAACCAGCTTGAATTTGATAAACAAGGTAGTATGCCTGTTGGAGCCACTAGTTCTAGAAGATAATATATGTTGAAGGTGGGAGGTAAAAAGGGAAGCCAAGAAAATAATCAATCAATAAATAGAATTTTCAGTGAGTTCCTAAACCCAAAGAAATTTTATAAACTTCAGTTGCTGCCTCTCTCAAATGCATATAAGGTTAAAGAGCAATAAAATGGATTGGTGATACCCACACTTCCTGTCCAGACCATTGCAAATAGTCCAGGTTGACAATGAAATTAGTAATTAAATAAGCAAGAGGATAAAGCCAGAGGAGGTGCAAGTTGACAATGAAATTAGTAGTTAAATAAGCAAGAGGATAAAGCCAGAGGAGGTGCAAGAGATGAGGAAAAAAGCAAACTGAGCCACAGAGTAATCGAGATGAGTTGCAGCCAATGGAAATCCAAACCAAGTTTTGCAGTTTAGCACAGTAATACAAACTTTGTAAACCATACAGTCATCATGAAAGAACAGAAATAAAAATAGAGCCACAAGCTCTCTTCACAAAGAGAGTAGTCAGCAATGAGAGAGCTAGGGCTGTGATGGGTGGTTGTGTTTTTCACCTTAACTTAGCAGAAGATTGTTCGTTCAAACACCAGTATCAGAAGTCTAGGCATGTGGAATTGCCTTGTGTGGACTTTCTCTAAGCTTTTACACACCACCCATATCTCAACCTTATTTTCAAAGAAAATGCAATTTTCTAAGTTCGTCTCAGAAAGTGGGACTGACTTTGCACTAAAGGTCAGGCTGAAAGTCATCCTGGAAATGTGTCTAACTTTCACACCTACCTTAAGTGCAAGTAGAAATTTTACAAACCCATGAAGTGAAAACCCAGAGAGGGTTTTAGGAAGACCCTTTAAATGTTTATGAGCTCTCCAGAAGAAGCATGAATGCACCTGTATCGCTGTGGTGCTCCCATGTAGTGAATGCAGTTAGGAAAACTGATTATGGAGAAGGACAGTATGATGCCTTTTATTTCATAAATTGAACCTTGACCAATGCTTGAGGTGAATAGGATTTAAGACTTCAGGCTTCCGAAGATGGAACAGTGATCAATCACTCACCATCATCTTGCTGGCCCTTTTAAAGGTGGCAAGTACATGGTTCTATCAGATTGGTTGCCTTGCCTAAGCTGATAGATCAATTAAGTCATACAGCCAACAAGTTTGACAGATTCTTTTCAGTTTACTGACAATCGATTGGTTATTTTGGTATCAAGTAGATTCAGCCTCAGTATCTTCAGGGAATCTTTCTAGTGGGCACTTTGTAGAGAAAATATTTTGTTATAGTCAGAAAATATATTTTTAGGGGATTGATGGCTGCTGTTTATTTGAGAGGCTTGGGAACTTCAAATTGTATTCAAAGCAGGGCTCCCCATTTTCAACATGATCTTGGGTGAGTACTATAACCTCTGAGTGTCCTTATTTTATGCATTTACAGAATATGAAATCAAATAAACACTTTAATAAAATATCAAGTTGTATTTTTTCAGTCTCTGCTTCATCTCTATATCAGTTCAAGCATCAAATACTCAATATGATCACTTCTAAGTCAGGCAATAGTCTCCTGGGATAATACTACTAGAGTGACTTGTGGTTAGTGTAAAAGGGATCTTATGATAGTTCACACAAACAGGCTGAAAGCTAGCCTATTTGTGGGTACAGTCTTCTGACTTAGATATGAATATGTTGCCTCCTTATGTTCTTTATGAAGACACAGAGCAGAATCATTAATAATTCCTTATGGCCTATTGGAAAAACTGGAAAGAGAGAATATTGGAGTATTATCATCTAGTTCTCTGAAAAAGTAGTAGACCATATTTATTTCTCACTGCCTAAAATGTAGTCAAATCTACCTCTCTCCTTTCAGACTATGTTTCTGTGCTATGATTTAAATGTCCCTGCCGAAACACATGTTCATGTTTACTTGCCAATGTAGTGGTATTGGGGGAGTGTTTTAAGAAGTGATTAAGTCAGCCAGGCGTGGTGGCTCACGGCTGTAATCCCAGCAGTTTGGGAGGCCAGGATGGGCGGATCACCTGAGGTTGGGAGTTCGAGACCAGCCTGACCAACATGGAGAAACCCTGTCTCTACTAAAAATACAAAATTAGCCGGGTGTGGTGGCACATGCCTGTAATTTCAGCTACTCAGGAGGCTGAGGCAGGAGAATCACTTGAATCCATGAGGCAGAGGTTGTGGTGAGCCAAGATCATGCCATTGCACTCCAGCCTGGGCAACAAGAGCAAAACTCTGACTCAAAAAAAAAAAAAAAAAAAAAAAAAGAGGGGATTAAGTCATAAGGGTTTCACCCTAATGAATAGATTACTTGAGGGAGTAGATTAATTATGGTGGAAGTTTGGCCCTCATTTTCTCTCTGACTCTCACATGCTCTTGTTCTCTCTAGCCTACCCTTCTGCCATGGGATAATCCTTGTCAGATTCCTGTGCCCTAATCTTGACCTTCCCAGCCTCAAGAACTGTGAGAAACAAATTTCTTTTACTTATAAATTACTTAGTCTCAGGAATTCTGTTATAGCAACAGAAAACAGACTAAAACAATCTGTGAAATGAAGAAAATAACATGTATAACAGTATTTCATCTTACCAACAATGTACATCATTTATTACTAAGTAATGTAAACATCTTTAAAATAATATTTCACTCTATCCTACCCAAAGTGAACTACAGATTCAACACAATCCCTGTCAAGATCTCAATGACATTTTTTACAGAAAAAAATCTAAAATGTATATAGAATGTCAGGGGTCCCTGAATTGCCAAAACATTCTTGAAAAATAACAAATTAGGAGGTCTCACACTTCCTGATTTCAAAATATATTGCAAAGTGACAGTAATCAAAACAATGTGGTACTGGCATAAAGGCAGACACATAGACTAATAGAACAGAAGAGACAGCCAAGAAATAAACCCACTCATATGTGGTCAATTAATCCTTGACAGAGGTGCTAAGACCACACAATGGGGAAAAGACAGTCTCTTCAACAAATGGTATTAAGAAAATTATATATGCACATGAAAAGAATGAAGTTGAGCCCTTTACTAATACCACATACAAAAACTAAATCAAAATGGATTAAAGACCTAAATATAAGATCCAAAACTGTAAAACTTAGAAAAAAAAACAGGAGAAAACTTCCTGACATTGGGTTTGGCAATAATTTATTGGACATGACACAAAATGCCCAGACAATAAAAGCAAAAATAAACAAATGAGACTACACCAAACTTTAAAATTTCTATACATCAAAAAAAAAAAAAAACCCAAAGGATGAAAAAGAAGAGAAAGAGGGAATCATCCCTAAATCATTCTATGAAGACAGTATCACCCTAATACCAAAACCAGGAAAGGACATAAAAAAAAAACTACAGACCAATATCCGTGATGAACATAGATGCAAAAATCTTCAAGAAAATACTAGCTAACTGAATCCAACAGCATATCAAGAAGAAAATCCACCATGGTCAAGTGTGTTCACACCAGGGATGCAGGGATGGTTTAGATAAATAAGTCAATAAATCTGATACACCACATAAACAGAATTAAAAACAAAAATCACACGATCATTTCAATAGACAGAGAAAAAGCATATGAGAAAATCCAGCATCCCTTTACGATTCAAGCTCTCAGCAAATTCAGCATAGAAGGGACATACCTTAGGTAATAAAAGCTATCTATGACAAACCCACAGCCAACATTATACCGAATGGGGAAATGTGAAAGCATTCTCCCTGAAAACTGCAACAAGACAAGGATGCCCATTTTCACCACTTCTATTCAACCTAGTACTGGAAGTCCTACCAGAGCAATCAGAAAAGAGAAATAAATAAAGGGCATCCAAATCAGTAAAGCAGAAGTTGATCAATGTTCCATTGATATATATGCTGGTTTTTATACCAGTACCATGCTGTTTTGATGACTATGGCCTTATAGTATACTTTGAAGTCAGGTAATGTAATGCTTGCAGATCTGTTCAGTTTGCTGACTCTTGCTTTGGCTATGAGGGCTCTTTTTTGGTTCCATACATATTTTGTGATTTTTTTTTTTTTTAGTTCTGTGAAGAATGATGGTGGTATTTTGATGGGAATTGGACTGAATTTGTAAATTGCTTTTGGCAGTATGCTCATTTTCACAACATTGATTCTACCCATCCATGAGCATGGGATATGTTTCGATTTGTTTGTGCCATCTATGATTTCTTTCAGCAGTGTTTTGTAGTTTTTCTTGTAGAAGTCTTTCACTTCCTTTGTTAAGTATATTCCTAAGTATTTGAAATTTTTCTGTAGCTATTGTAAAAGGGGTTGAGTTCTTGATTTGATTCTCAACTTGGTAGCTGTTGGTGTATAAGAGAGCTACTGATTTGATTTGGTCAAATCTTAAAGCTCCAAAATGATCTCCTTTGACTCCATGTATCACATCCAGGTCACATTGATGCAAGAGGTGGGTTCCCATGGTCTTGGACACCTCTGCCCCTGTGGCTTTGCAGGGCACAGACTCCCTCCTGGCTGCTTTCACAGGCTGGCATTGAGTGTCTGTGGCTTTTCCAGGTGCACGGTGCAAGCTGTCAGTGGGTCTACCATTCTGGGGCCTGGAGGATGGTGGCCCTCTTCTCATAACTCTACTAGGTAGTGCCCCAGTAGGGACTCTGTGTGGGGGCTCCGACCCCACATTTCCCTTCTGCACTGTGCTAGCAGAGTTTCTCCATGAGGCCCCACCCCTGCAGCAAACTTCTGCCTGGGCATCAAGGCATTTCCATACGTCTTCTGAAATCTAGGCAGAGGCTCCCAAACCCCAATTCCTGATTTCTGTGCACTCACAGGCTCAATACCACGTGGGAGTTGCCAAGGCTTGGGGCTTGCACCCTCTGAAGCCATGGCCCAAGATCTACATTGGCCCCTTTCAGCCATGGCTACATAGGCTTGGATGCAGGGCACCAAGTCTTTAGGCTGCACAAAGCATGGGGACACTGGGCCTGACCCATGAAACCATTTTTTCCTCCTAGGTCTCCAAGCCTGTGATGGGAGGGGCTGCCATGAAGACATCTGACATGCCCTGGGGAGACATTTTTCCCATTGTCTTATGGATAAACATTTGGCTCCTCATTGCTTATGCTAATTTCTGCAGCCAGCTTGAATTTTGCTTCAGAAAATGGGATTTTCTTTTCTATCACATTGTCAGGCTGCAAATTTTTCAAACCTTTATGCTCTGCTTCCCTTATAAAACTGAATGCCTTTAACAGCACCCAAGTCACCTCTTGAATGCTTTGCTGCTTAGAAATTTTTTCTGCCAGATACCCTAAATTTATCTCAAGTTCAAAGCTCCATAAATCTCTAGGGCAGGGACAAAATGCCACCTGCTATGTCTTTTATAAATGTCTTTGCTAAAACATAACAAGAGTCCCTTTTACTCCAGTTCCCAATAAGCTCCTCATTTCCTTCTGAGACCATCTCAGCCTCGATTTCATTGTCCATATCATTATCAGCATTTTGATTAAAGCCATTCAACAAGTCTCTACGGAGTTCCACACTTTCCCACATTTTCCTGTCTTCTTCTGAGTCCTCCAAACTGTTCCAACCCCTCCCTATTACCCACTTCCAAAGTAGCTTCCAAATTTTTGGGTATCTTTTTAGCAGTACCCTACTCAACTTGTACCAATTTTTTTGTATTAGTCTGTTTTCATGCTGCTGATAAAGACATACCTGAGACTGAGCAATTTACAAAAGAAAGAAGTTTATTGAACTTACAGTTCCACGTGGCTAGGGAGGCCTCACAATCATGGTGGAAGGCAAAAGGCACTTCTTACATGGTGGCAGCAAGAGAGAAAATGAAACGGGGTTTTCCTTATCAAACCATCAAATCTTGTAAGACTTATTCACTACCACCAGAACAGTATGGGAGAAATTAGGCCCATGATTTAATTATCTCCCACCAGGTCCCTCCCACCACATGTAGAAATTATGAGAGTACAATTCAAGATGATACTTGGGTGGGTACAAAGAGCCAAACCATGTCAACACTCTATTCAACAAATGGTGCAGGAATAATTGACAAGCCACATGTAGAAGAATAAAACTGGATCCTCATCTCTCACCTTATACAAAAATCAACTCAAGATGGATCAAAGACTTAAATCTAAGACCTAAAGCCATAACAATTCTACAAGATAACATTGGAAAAACCCTTCTAGACATTGGCTTAGGCAAATACTTCATTACCAAGAACCCGAAAGCAAATGCAACAAAACAAAGATAAATAGATGGGAAGTAATTAAACTAAAAAACTTCTGCACAGCAAAAGAAATAATTAACAGAATAAACAGACAAGCTACAGAGTAGGAGAAGATCTTCACGTCTATACATCTGACAAAGGACTAATATCCAGCATCTACAAGAAACTCAAACAAATCAGTGAAAAAGAAAAAAACAAACAAACAATCCCATCAGAAACTGGGCTAAGGACATGAATAGACAATTCTCAAAAGAAGATATATAAATGGCCAACAACATATGAAAAAATGCTCAACATCACTAGTGATTAGGGAAATGCAAATCAAAACCATAATGCAATGCCATCTTACTCCTGCAAGAATGGCCTTGATCAAAAAGTCAAAAAAGAGTAGATGTCGGTGTGGATGTTATGAAAAGGGAACACTTTTACACTTTTGGTGACAATGTAAACTAGTACAACCACTATGGAAAACAGAGTGGACATTCGTTAAAGAACTAAAAGCACATCTACCATTTGATCTAGCAATCTCACTCCTGCATATCTACCCAGAGGAAAAGAGGTCATTATACGAAAAAGCTACTTGCACATATATGCTTATAGCAGCACAATTTGTAATTGTAAAAATATAGAACCAGCCCAAATACTCATCAATCAACGAGTGGATAAAGAAAATGTGGTATGTATGTATATCATGGAATACTACCAAGCCATAAAAAGGAATGAAATAATGGCATTTGCAGCCACCTGCATGGAATTGGAGACGATTATTGTAAGCGAAGTAACTCAGGAATGGAAAACCAAACATCGTATGTTCTCACTCATAAGTGGGAGCTAAGATATGAGGATGCAAAGGCATAAGAATAACACAATGGACTTTGGAAACTTTGGGGGAAGGGTTGGGGGTACAGCGTACATTGGGTACAGTGTACATTGCTCAGGTGATGGCTGCACCAAAATCTCAGAAATCACTACTAAAGAACTTATTCATGTAACCAGACATCACCTGTTCCCCAAAAACCTATTGAAATAAAAAAGAAACCTATTATAGGATAAAATATTTGCAAATAATATGTCTGTTACGGGATTAATATTCAGAATATATGAAGAACACTTACAACCCAACAACATAAAAACAATAACCTGATTTTAAAATGGGCAAAGAATCTAAATAGACATTTCCCCGAAGTAAGGTGTACAAATGTCCAACAAGCATAGGAAAAGATGTTCAACATCACTGATCATTAAGGAAACGCAAATACAAATCCCAATGAGATATCACCTCACACCCGCTAGAATGGCCACTATCAAAAACAAAAATAATAAGAGTGACAAGGATGGGTGAGAAATTGGAACCTTTGTGCAGTGGTGATGGGAATGTAAAATAGTGCAGTCACTATGGAAAAATGAATGGAAGTTTCTCAAAAAAACTAAAAATGGAATCACCATATGATCCACCATTCCAGTTTTGTGTGTATATCAAGAAGAATTGAAAGCAGGCTCTCTCAAATAAATATTTGTACACTCATGTTCATTGCAGTGTTATTCACAATAGCCAAGAGTTGGAGGCAGCCCAGGTGTTCACTGACAGATGAATGGATAAAGGAAATGGGGTATGCACATGCAATTGAATATTATTCAGCTTTAAAATGGGAAAAAATTCTGTCACATGCTACAACACGGATGACACTTCCCGACATTATGCTGAGTGAAATAAGCCAGTCACTTGGATTCCTCTTATATGAGATAACCTGAGTAGTCAAAATCAAGGAAGCAGAAAGTAGAATAGTGACTGCCAGGAGCTGAGGGAGGGGGAAATTGAGATTTGTTTGATGGATATACAGTTTCAGTTTTGCGAGTTGAAAATGCTCTAGAGATCTGATACATAAAAATGTGAATATAGTTAATGCCACTGAACTGCACACTTAAAAATGATTAAGAGGGGAAATTTTTTTTTTAGAAAATGTCTCACTCTGTTAATCAGGCTGGAGTGCAGTAACGTGACCACGACTCACCGCATCCTCAATTTCTTGGGCTCAAGCTTCGGCCTGCCAAGTAGCTGGGACTAGAGCTGTGCACCATCACGCCCAGCTTATTTTTATTTATTTATTTATTTATTTAGAGAT
Source organism: Homo sapiens (assembly GCF_000001405.40). Taxonomy (NCBI): domain Eukaryota; kingdom Metazoa; phylum Chordata; class Mammalia; order Primates; family Hominidae; genus Homo; species Homo sapiens. Next base: position 84,277,910 of record NC_000023.11, read on the forward strand.
GGGATCTCACTATTTTGGCAGGGCTGGTCTGAATTTCCTGTCTTCAAGTGATTCTTCCACCTCACCCATCCCAAAGTGCTGGAATTGCAGGTGTGAGCCACAGCGTAAGAAGGTAAATTTTATATTGTGTTTTAATCACAATTTTTAAAATATTACAGAAAGAATAATTAACTTATTTATAAATATACTTTACTGATGATTAAAAGAGAAGTCTTTTCCATTACATGTCATGCTATATGCTCCCAGTCATTTTTATTATGTATTTTAAAGGTTCACATCTTTGCATTCATTTCTAGCATATTTTATTTCAATCTGTAAAATATGACTTAATTGTGATGTTTGGCTTAGTCATACAACCTCTGTAAAACTATTTTATTCCTGTAGCTTAAACTACTTCAGTCTAAGAAGGAGGTGTAGCTCATTTGAAATTCTTCTTCTTGTATTCTTACATTTACAGTTATGCAGTCTCACTGTAAATGTTATTTTATTGGCCACCTGTTTCTTTGAGACACAGGAGGTTTATCTTATTCGGGAAGTTCTCAGGAGTTTCAAAGGCTCTTTGTCATAGCCGCTCAACTCACAATGTCCTTTACCTTTTTCCTTAAGGTGATTGGATAAAGAAGATTACATTGCAGGCCTAGGATGCTATCATTGTATGCCCTCTCAGATCTTGGTATATGACCAAAGAAGGAGTAATAACTTTGTTAAGCAAAAGTAATACTTATCTGAAAATGAGGTGTCACTTATTATAACATGTTCAGACTGTACAGTCAAATGAGTGGTGTTCCCTTCAAAGTAACCACTTTGGAAGCTACACATTTTATTCTAATTCTGCTGCTTTTGCTTTGAGCAATGCAAGAGCTTCTCTTTCGGAATTGTCATCAGAGGCAGTTTAGAGCCACATGAGAAAATCAGTCCCACTGCTTTACAGCCACATCTTGTATAATGTGTGAGACAGAATGGCAGGACCATTTCTCTCAGAGCTCATCTGAGATTATCTCCACACCGTCATTATAAATGAGAGAAAATTCAGACCTGGCTTAAATGCCCAACTACTTCCTCAAATCTTATCTGATTTTCCCCAGTCAGGAAAACCCTCCTTCCTCTGAACTACCAGAGTGCTATGCTGATACTAGTCTTAGGGAACCGAGGTCATATTGCTTTGGGTTATAGTTAGTTCTACACATTGCCCTTTTTAAATCATAAGCTCCTTAGAAACGTGTCTTATTCAGGTGTACAGTTCCCTCACACAGTACACAATCAGTAAATATTTATTGAATGAATAAATGACTAAGAGAAAACCATTTCTTTAAAAAAAAACTTTTAAAAACCTTCAGAGGTAAATGTGCAGCTTTGTTATATGTAAACTTGTGTCATGGGGGTTTTCTGTACAGGTCGTTTCATCTCCCAGGTTTTAAACCTAGTACCCATTAGTTATTTTTTCTGATCCTCTCCCCTCTCCCACTCTCTAGCCTCAAGTAGGCCCCTGTGGCTGTTGTTCCTCTTTTTGTGTTCATGTGTTCTCCTCATTTAGCTCCCACTTATCAGTGAGAACATGCAGTGTTTGATTTTTTGTTCCTGCATTAGTTTGCTAAGACTAATGGCCTCCAGATTCATCCATGTTCTGCAAAAGACATGATCTCCTTTTTTATGGCTGCATAGTATTCTATGGTGTATATGTATCACATTTTCTTTATCCAATCTGTCATTGATAGACATTTAGGATGATTCCGTGTCTTTGTTATTGTGAATAGCGCTGCAATGAACATTTGCATGCACGTGTCTTTATGGTACAGTGCTTTATATTCCTTTGGTTATATACCCAGTAATGGGATTGCTGGGTCGAATGGTAGTTTGGTTTCTAGCTCTTTGAAGAATTGCCACACTGCTTTCCAAAATGGTTGAACTGATTCACACTCCCAACAACAGTGTATAAGCGTTCCCTTTCCCCACCATCTGTTATTTTTTGATATTTTAATAATAGCCATTCTGACTGGTGTGAAATGGTATCTCATTTCTCTAATAGTGATATTGGGCTTTTCTTCATATGCTTGTTGGCAGCATGTTTGTGTTCCTTCAAAAAGTGTCTGTTCACGTCCTTAGCCCACTTTTTAACGGGGTTGTTTGTTTTGCCCTGTAAATTTGTTTAAATTCCTTATAAGTGCTGGATAACAGACTTTTGTCAGATGCATAGTTTGCAAATATTTTCTCCCATTCTGTAAGTTGTCTGTTTATTCTGCTGATAGATTCTTTTGCTGTGCAGAAGTTCTTAGGTTTAACTAGATCCCATTTGTCAAGTTTTGCTTTTGTTGCAATTTCTTCTGGCTTCTTCATCATGATATCTTTGCTCTTTCCTATGTCCAGAGTGGTATTACCTAGGTTGTTTTCCAGGGTTTTTATAGTTTTAGGTGTTCCATTTAAGTCTTTAATCCATCTTGAGTTGATGTTTGTATTTGTACATAGTGTAAGAAAGGAGTCCAGTTTTCATCTTCTGCTTATGGCTAGCCAGTTTTCCCATCTCCATTTATTGAAGAGGGAGTCCTTTCCCCATTGCTTGTTTTTGTCAGCTTTGTAGATGATTAAATGGTTGTAGGTGTGCGGCCTTAATTCTGGGCTCTCTATTCTGCTCCATTGGTCTTTTTGCCTGTTTTCATACCAGTACCATGCTGTTTTGATTACTATAGCCCTGTAGTAGTTTGAATTTCAGTAACATGATGCCTCCAGCTTTGTTCTTTTTGCTTAGGATTGCCTTGGATATTTGAGTTCTTTTTTGATTCTACATACATTTTAAAGTACTTTTTTCTAGTTCTGTGA